>NC_000007.14:152337167-152488682 GCF_000001405.40 Homo sapiens | reverse complement strand
ACGCCTGGCTAATTTTTGTATTTTTAGTAGAGACGGGGTTTCACCATGTTGGCCAGGCTGGTCTCAAATTCCCGATCTCAAGTGATCTGCCCGCCTCGGGCTCCCAAAGTGCTGGGATTACAGGCGTGAGCCACCACACCCAGCCTGTTGATTTATTTTTCTTTTTTTATTTTTGTAGAGACAAGGTCTCACTATGTTGCCTAGGCTGGCCTCAAACTCCTGGCTCCAAGTGATCCTCCTGCCTTGGGCTCCCAAAGTGCTGGGATTACAGGTGTGAGCCACCAGCCACAGTTGTTGATTTTTTTTTTTTTTTTTTTTTTTTTTTTTTTTTTTTTTAGATAAGGCCTCACTCTGTTGCCCAGGCTGGAGGGCAGTGGTACCATCACAGCTCACTGCAGCCTCAAACTCCAGGGCTTAAGCCATCTTCCCAGCTTGGCTTCCCAACCAGCTGGGCTAGAGGTGCACGCCACCATGACTGGCTCATTTTAAAATTTTTTTGTAGAGATGGGGTCTTCCTATATTGCCCAGGCTGGTGTTGAACTGTTGGCCTCAAGTGATCCTCCTGCCTCCGCCTCCTGAAGTGCAGGGATTACAGGCATGAGCCACCGTACCTGGCCCACAGTTGTTGACTTTAATGGAGAGAGACACTATATCTAATCATCCATCTCTGAGTACTAAAAATATGAAAAGATATATATTTTAAATCTGTAGGCCAGGGGAGGTGGCTCAGTAATACCAGCACTTTGGGAGGCCGAGGCAGGCGGATCACCTGAGGTCAAGAGTTGTTTTTTGTTTTTGTTTTTTTTTTGAGACAGAGTCTTGCTCTGTCGCCCAGGCTGGAGTGCGGTGGTGCCATCTCGGCTCACTGCAAGCTCCACGTCCTGGGTTCAAGCAATTCTCCTGCCCCAGCCTCCTGAGTAGCTGGGACTACAGGCGCATGCCACCATACCCAGCTAATTTTTGTATTTTTAGTAGAGAAAGGGTTGCACCATGTTGGCCAAGATGGCCTCAATCTCTTGACCTCATGATCTGCCCGCCTCGGCCTCCCAAAGTGGTGGGATTACAGGCATGAGCCACCACACCCGGCCAAGGTCAGGAGTTTGAGACCAGCTTGGCCAACATGGCAAATCCTCGTCTCTACTAAAAATACAAAAATTAGCCGGGCATGGTAGTGGGGGCCTGTAATCCCAGCTGCTCGGGAGGCTGAGGAAGGAGAATCACTTGAACCCGGGAGGCAGAGGTTGCTGTGAGCTGAGATTGGGCCCCTGGACAGGGAGAGAGAAAAAGGAAAGGAAAGAGAAAAGGAAAGGGAGAGGGGGAGGGAAAGGGAAAGGGGAAGGGGAGGGGAAGGGAAAGGGGAAGGGGAGGGGAAGGGAAAGGGGAAGGGGAGGGGAAGGGAAAGGGGAAGGGGAGGGGAAGGGAAAGGGGAAGGGGAAGGGAAGGGAAAGAGAAAAAGAAAGGAAGGAAAGGGAAGAAGGGAAAGGAAAGGAAGAGGAAAGGGAAAGGAAGGGAAGAGAGAGGAAGGAAGGAAGGAGAGAGAAAATAATTTTTTAAAAATTAATGATTCCAGGAAATCCTAAAATGAGCCTGTCTCTTCATTTCTGTGGATTTCTTGTCACTATATAGATGAAATAATGGTTTATGTCATTCTGCAGCAAAACAAACCAACATTTACTTCTATTTACACTTCAATTATGAAAGCTAATTGTTGGATTAAATCAATTGCAACTGGGTTATATCAAACCTCACAGAGTTGTTAAAACCTTAAGTTACCATGTAATAATCTGGAAATGTCACCTAAAATTCTGGATTTCCAACTTTCTGGGAAAATGGAAATTCTGGCAGTAGTTGCTCCAAATTCTCAGATGGAAATCGTTACTGAAAGGTGAATACCAGAGATGCTCCGTAGTCCCTTGTAGTCCTACCACTTCCTGTGGTCCTCAGCAGTGAACCCTCAACCTACCCATCCACTTGAGTTTTCAGTCCTGGTATATGAAAAACTTTACACTGTTTTCAGGACTGTTAACAGTTTGCTAGTATGGCTGGATTTATATCACGAAACTCCAACAAGTCGACGTATTCATGAATCCACCTGACGTGAAATTAACAAAGAACCTCTTAGCTCAATGTTTCTTAAAGTATGGTGGACAGGAACACCATGTGAGAAAAAACTGAGAATCTCTGGAAATAAGCCTGAGAATCTCTTGAAATAAGCAACAGGCTTGTTCCTCTTCTTCTTCTTCTTCTTTTTTTTGGCGGGGGACAGGGTCTTGCTCTGTGGCCCAGGCTGAAGTGCAGTGGCACAACCACAGCTCACTGCAGCCTCAACCTCCCAGGCTCAAGCGTCAAGCGATCTTCCTGCCTTGGCCTCCCAAAGTACTGGGATTACAGGCATGAGCCACCACGCTCTGCCTGGGGTATGCATTTGAAATGAGTTCTCCAAATGATTCTCATGTATACTCAATTTTGAGAACCAATGTCCTAAAGCAGAAAAACAATTCATTATTTTGCAAATTGCTCTCCCTTCAGTGGTTTTTTGACAGAATATGTAAATTCTAAGAGAATTCAAAGGAAGAATTTACTCCTAGCTGGACAGATCAGGGAAGGCTGTCCTGGGAGATGGTAGCATTTGGGCCAGCCCTTGATGAAAACACAGGATGGAGACATGTGCAGAATGGTGCCCCAGGGGGCGGAAACTGCGTGAGCAAAGGCACAGAGGCAGGAAAAGGGCATGTGTAGGGAAGGGCAAGCAACTTTCCTTCGTTGTCATAAGCGTTCATTAAAGGGAGTAGAAGTCAAGCAGGGTGGCTCACACCTGTAATCCCAGCAATTCAGGAGGCCAGAGTGGGAGGATCACTTAAGCCCAGGAGTTTGAGACCAGCCTGGGCAACATAGTGAGGCCCGGTTTCTATTATTTATTTTTATTATTATTATTTTTTAGATGGAGTCTCACTCCATTGCCCAGGCTGGAGTACAGTGGCGCGACCTCGGCTCACTGCAACCTCTGCCTCCTGGGTTCAAGCGATTCTCCTGCCTCAGCCTCCTGAGTAGCTGCGACTACAGGCGCACGCCACCACGCCCAGCTAATTTTTTGTATTTTTAGTAGAGACAGGGTTTCACCATGTTAGCCAGGATGATCTCGACCTCTTGACCTCATGATCCGCCCGCCTTGGCCTCCCGAAGTGCTGGGATTACAGTCGTAAGCCACCGCACCCGGCCTATTTTTTTTTTTTAATGGGGGGAGTAGAGGATACTTAACAAGCTTGGCTAAGAGGCAGGGGCCTCATCATTAACAGATATGACTGCCTGACTAAGGCACATGGCAGGAAGGTTTTGAAATGAGGGCTAATATGATCAGAACCATACATTGAAAGGATTTGTCAGGCATGAGTAGGAGCAGGGAAAACAAGAAACCAAGATGTGCTTTCATGGTGTTTAAACTAAAGGGATAATACTGGGAATAGAAAGAAGGAAATAGAGCTGGGCACGGTGGCTCACGCCTGTAATCCCAGCACTTTGGGAGGACGAGGTGGGCAGATCACCTGAGGCCAGGAGTTCAAGACCAGCCTGGCCAACATGGTGAATCCCTATTTCTACTAAAAATACAATTAGCTGGGTGTGGTGGCACATGCCTGTAATCCCAGCTACTCAGGAGGCAGAGGCAGGAGAATCACTTGAACCTGGGAGGTGGAGGTTGCAATAAGCCAAGATCGTGCCACTGCACTCCCACCTGGGTGACAGAGACTCTGTCAGAAAGGAAGGGAAGGAGGATGGGAGTGAGGGAGGGAGGGAGGGAAGGAGGGTGGAAAGAAGGAAGGAAATAGATTTCTGAGCTACGTTAGGGGTAAAAGTCACAGATTGGACTCGCAACTGTGAGCCTGCAAAAAGCAGAGTAGGCCGGGTGCGGTGGCTCACACCTGTAATCCCAGCGCTATGGGAGGCTGAGGCAGGAGGATCATGAAGTCAGGATGGAGACCATCCTAGCTAACACAGTGAAACCCTGTCGCTACTAAAAATACAAAAAATTAGCCAGGTGTGGGGGCATGTGTCTGTAGTCCCAGCTACTTGGGAGGCTGACAGGAGAATTGCCTGAACCCAGGAGGCGGAGGTTGCAGTGAGCTGAGATCATGCCACCGCACATCAGCCTGGGAGACAGCACGAGACTCCACCTCAAAAAAAAAAAAAAGAAAGAAAGGCAGAGTAGTTCTTAACACTAGCTGCACGTTACAATCAGCTGGGGAGCTTTCAAAAATGTCCTTCTTAGGCCGGGCATGGTGGCTCCCAGCACTTTCGGAGGCACTGAGGTCAGAGTTCAAGACCAGCCTGACCAGTATGGAGAAACGCCATCTCTACTAAAAAAAAAAAAACAAAATTAGCCAGGCGTGGTGGTGCATGCCTATAATCCCAGCTACTCGGGAGGCTGAGGCAGGAGAATTGCTTGAACCCAGGAGGCAGAGGTTTCGGTGAGCCAAGATCACGCCATTGCACTCCAGTCTGGGCAACAAGAGGAAAACTCTGTCTCCAAAAAAAAAATGTCCCTCTTGCTAATGTAGTGTTCAGCCAAGTTGAGACCCACTTACCTAGAGCCTGGGTGACCGGGCTCATCAGAAGTCCATCATGAACAGGAATAGGTAACACAGAAGATGTTGGTTTGGGAGGAAGCAGAAGGTCCTCCTGGGCCCAGCAAGGCCAAGGGTCGTGGCACATCCAGGTGGAGGTGTCCAGTAAGTGCTAAAAATACAGACCCAGAGTAAATGAGAAGATTAAAATAGAGACATAAGGCCGGGCGTGGTGGCTTACGCCTGTAATCCCAGCAATTTGGGAGGCCAAGGTGGGTGGATCACAAGGTCAGGAGTTCAAGACCAGCCTGGCCAAGATGGTGAAACCCTGTCTCTACTAAAAATACAAAAATTAGCTGGGTGTGGTGCGGGTGCCTGTAATCCCAGCCACTCAGGAGGCTGAGTCAGGAGAATCGCTTGAAGCCGGGAGGCGGAGGTTGCAGTGAGCTGAGATCGTGTCACTGCTCTCCAGCCTGGGTGACAGAGCATGACTCGTCTCAAAAAACAAAAAACAAAATAGAGATGTGGATTTCAGAGTTCACTGCATAAAGATGAGAATTGAAAACAGCTGCTCTGAATATTGTTTGAAAGTTAGGTTGGACATTTGGCAAACAGTACCTAAGTTACAAAATCATCATGGAAGAGAAAGAGAGAGAGATGGGCCAATGCTAGAACTTGAGGAATATCTGCAGGTGTACTCAAGAGAGTAGACCATTTTAATGTTTAACATTTGAACTCCCTTTCTTCTTTTCTTCCTTCCTGCCCTTCCTTCATTTTAAAATTTACTTTCCTGTCATTTTGAGGGTTTGTATCTATATGTCAGGAAAAGTAGAAAATGGTGAGTTATGCACTTATATAATTAAATTCCCAACTTGGACCACCTTGGCCTGTCTAATCCTGGGTTAGCTCTCCCAACTATTACACCATCCCTTAGAAAAAGTATAAGCTTTCATAGGTGTGAGATTGACTGTGGAGATAGCCAGGTACGTTGGCCAGGAAAGGCTAGGACTCAGCTGGAATTAATTAACTTCTTAGAGGCATAGAAAAAAGAAACCAACACGTTCCTGGGCTTGATCATGGGTATTAGAGTTCATTTCTACTTGAGGGAACGCTGGCCTGCAAGTTGCCTGTTAGCTCTACAATCAGTTCTCTAAACTCTAATGCAAAAGAGCCTTTCCCTTTCCTCTCTCGGCTAAATTTTTTTTTTTCTGAGAAGGAGTCTTGCTCTGTTGCCCCGGCTGGAGTGCAGTGGAGCAACGCGGCTCACTGCAAGCTCCGCCTCCTGGGTTCACACTATTCTCCTGCCTCAGCCTCCCAAGTAGCTGGGACTACAGGCACCCGCCACCATGCCTGGCTAATTATTTTTGTATTTTTAGTAGAGACAGGGTTTCACCATGTTAGCCAGGATAGTCTCGATCTCCTGATCTCGTGATCCCCCCGCCTTGGCCTCCCAAAGTGCTAGGATTACAAGCATGAGCCACCATGCCTGGTCTTTTTTTTTTTTTTTAGACAGAGTCTCGCTCTGACGCCCGGGCTGGAGTGCAGTGGTGTGGTCTCAGCTCACCGCAACCTCTGCCTCCCAGGTTCATGCGATTCCCCTGCCTCAGCCTCCCGAGTAGCTGAGATTACAAGTGACTACCACCACGCCCGGCTAATTTTTGTAGAGACGGGGTTTCACCATGCTGGTCAGGCTGGTCTTGAACTCCTGACCTCGTGATCCACCCACCTCGGCCTCCCAAAGTGCTGGGATTACAGGCATGAGCCACTGTGCCTGACTTTTTTTTTTTTTTTTTTTTGAGATGGAGAGTCTCTCTCTTGTCTCCCAGGATGGAGTGCAGTGGCAAGATCTCAGCCCACTGCAACCCCTGCCTTCCGAGTTCAAGCGATTCTTCTGCCTCAGCCTCCCGAGCAGCTGGGACTACAGGCATGCGCCACCATACCTGGCTACTTTTTGTATTTTTAGTAGAGACAGGGTTTCACCATGTTGGCCAGGCTGGTCTCGAACTCCTAACCTCAAGTGATCCACCTGCCTCGGCCTCCCAAAGCGCTGGGATTACAGGCGTGGGCCACCATGCCCAGCCCCCAGCTAAGTTTTCTTTTACAGAGTTGGAGGGTGTGACCAGGCTTGACCTCATACTCATGCTATTGTTAGAATGTGATTGTATTAATCATGCTATTTTACGATGTGATTTCTTCATGGGGAAACACCTTAATTCATATTCTGGTAGGGAAGTTTCTTTCTTTTTTGTTATTTCAATTTTTTCAATGTTTTACAGAGAAGTTGGGGTAGTCTTACTACCTTGCGCAAGCTGGTCTCGAACTCCTGACTTCAAGTAATCCTCTCACATCAGCCTCTCGAAGTGCTGGGATTACAGGTATGTCACTGCGCCCAGCCCTGGTGGGGGAGTTTCTGAAGGGAGCAGGTTCTACAGGGAGCATGCCATCTTTGGCCATGGAGAAGTTTATCTACCACCTTGTCACCCTCCTAAGAGGCAAAGGAGCACCTTCTGGCAACTTGAGATTGTAAGAGATTGAGACCAGGCTGGGCAACATGGCAAAAACGCATTTCTAAAAAAAAAAAATTTAGCCGGGCATGGTGGTACATACTTGTAGTTCCAGCTTCTCAGGCAGCTGAGGCATGAGAACTGCTTGAACCTGGGAGGTGGCGGTTGCAGTGAGCAGAGATCATGCCACTGCACTCCAGCCTGGGTGATAGAGCCAGACCTTGTCTCAAAAAAGAAAAGGAAGGAAAGGAAGGGAAGGAAGGGAAGGAAGGGAGGGAAGGGAGGGAAGGAAGGAAGGAAGGGAGGAAGGGAGAGAGAGAAAGGAAGGAAGGAGAAGAGAAGAGAAAAGAAAGGAGAAAGAAGGGAGAGAAAGAAAGAAAGAACACAGAGAGAGAAAGGGGTAAATGCCTCGCCCAAGGCCGTACAGCTGCCTACAGCAAAACCCCATTGGTGGGGCAAGTTCCTGGATCCAAGCTCTGAACTCTTTTCACAATGAACACTTAGCAAAATGTCATACACTCTGCTCGTTCACCATCATCATCAATTAACAAGTGGAATCTGTAACCAAACTTTGAACAGATTCTCTTTTCTATTCAGTCTGAGCCTGTTTTGAATGAAGTAGAGAATCAAATCAAGACAGCATCATCACATTGAGTCAGTGGGTTAATTGCCTAGCCTAGGTTGGAAACAGCTTCCACTGGCCCCACTTATTACATGTTCTTCATTGTGACTGGAAAACTAAAGTCCTCAGGCCTATTTGCTCAGCCCGATAGGGCACAGTTGTTGATAGACAGAGGATTTCCTTGTACTGCCTGCCATGTGTGAGGCCTTCCGCCTTGAGAAGGCACTTGACAGAGCAAGAGAGAGAGGGTCTCCGTGATATGCAAGTGAAAATCAACAAGTAAACAAATCAATACCGACTAGGATAAATGCATTTTATGTTATGTTATGTAATGTTATGTTATGTTATGTTATGTTATGTTATGTTATGTTATGTTATGTTATGTTATGTTATGTTATTTGAGACAGAGTCTCTCTCTGTCACCCAGGCTAGAGTGCAGTGGTGCGATCTCAGCTCACTGCAACCTCTGCCTCCCGGGTTTAAGCAATTCTCCTGCCTCAGCCTCCCAAGTAGCTGGGATTACAGGTGCCCACCACCACGCCTGGCTAATTTTTGTATTTTTTAGTAGAGATGGGATTTCACCATCTTAGCCAGGCTGGTCTCAAACTCCTGACCCCGTGATCCACCTGCCTCGGCCTCCCAAAATGCTGTGATTACAGGTGTGAGCCACCGCACCCGGCCAGGATAAATGCTTTCTAAAAAGTGCTCTGATGGCTGGGCCTGGTGGCTCACACCTATAATCCCAGCACTTTGGGAGGCTGAGGCGGGTGGATCACCTGAGGTCAGGAGTTCAAGACCAGCGTGGCCAACACGGTGAAACACTGTCTCTACTAAAACTATAAAAATTAGCCGGGCATGGTGGTGGGCGCCTGTAATCCCAGCTACTCGGGAGGTTGAGGCAGGAGAATCACTTGAACCTGGGAGGCGGAGGTTGTAGGGAGCTGAGATCACACCACTGCACTCCAGCCTGGGCAACAAGAACAAAACTCCATCTCAAAAAAAAAGAAACAAAAAAGTGCTCTGACAGAGAATGAGCATGGGGCTTACTTTTGCTAGGGTGGACTGGGTGTCATTTCTTCAGAAAAGGAAATAATGAAGACATATGTAAGATGAAGACCTGAAAGCTACAAAGGAGACAGTCAAGGGTTTAGGCAGGTCATTTGTATGAGTCTGCCGGCTGCTATAACAAAACACACAGACTGGGTGGCTTAAACAACAGAATTGGCTGGGCATGGTAGCTCATGCCTGTAATCCCAGCACTTTGGGAGGCCAAGGTGGGAGAATCACCTGAGTCTAGGAATTTGAGGCTGCAGTGAGCCATGATCATGACACTGCAATCCAGCCTGGGCAACAGAGTGAGACCTTGTCTGTAAATAAATAAACATAAATTTATTTTCACAGTTCTGGAGACTAGGAAGCCCAAGATCAGTGTGCCTGCAGCTGCTGCTTCTGGCAAGAGCGGTCTTCCTGCTTTGTGGCTGCCACCTTCTCTAAGTGTCCTCATGTGGCAGAGAGAGGGGCTGGGATCAGTGCACCTCTCTTAACCTTAATTACCTCCTAAAGATCCTGTCTCCAGATACAGTGATATTGGGGGTTAGGGGTTAAACGCATGAATGGGTGGGGGAAAACAATTCAGTCTATAGCATCATTTAAGTTTTCTGTGCCTTAGGCATCTCCAAAATATAATTCCCATGAAATGTAAATAAAAAGAAGTCTTGGCCGGGAGTGGTGACTCACACCTGTAATCCTAGTACTTTGGGAGGACAGGGTGGATCACTTGAGTTCAAACCAGCCTGGGCAACATGATGAGACTACATCTCTACTAAAAATACAAAAAAAGGGCCGGGTGTGGTGGCTTGCGCCTGTAATCCTAGCACTTTGGGAGGCCTAGGTGAGTGGATTGCCTGAGCTCAGGAGTTCAAGACCAGCCTGGCAACATGGTGAAACCCCGTTTCTACTAAAATACAAAAAATTAGCCAGGTGGCCGGGCGCAGTGGCTCACACCTGTAATCCCAGCACTTTGGGAAGCCAAGGCAGACGGATCACCTAAGGTTGGGAGTTCAAGACCAGCCTGCCAACATGGAGAAACCCCTGTCTCTACTAAAAATACAAAATTAGCTGGGCGTGGTGGTGCATGCCTATAATCCACGCTACTCAGGAGGCTGAGGCAGGAGAATTGCTTGAACCTGGAAGGCGGAGATTGTGGTGAGCCGAGATCACGCCATTGCATTCCTGCCTGGGCAACAACAGTGAAACCCTGTCCCCCCACCTCCCCTGAAAAAAAAGAAAAATTAGCCAGGCGTGGCAGCCTGTGCCTGTAATCCCAGCTACTCGGGAGGCTGAGACAGAAGAATCGCTTGAACCCGGGAGGCAGAGGTTGCAGTGATCCAAGATTGGGCCACTGCACTCCAGCCTGGGGGACAAAGCAAGACTCTGTCTCAAAAAAAAAAAAAATTAGCTGGGTATGATGGCGGGGTGGTCCCAGTTACTTGGGAGGTTGAGGTGGGAGATCACTTGAGCTGGGGGGTGGAGGTTGCAGTAAGTGGGGATCATTCCTACACTCCAGCCTGGGTGACAGAGCAAGACCCTGTCTCAAAAAAAAAAAGAAGTCCAGTAGAAGAGTAAGTCAACATTGACTCAATGTCATTTGGTTATGCTGATTGATTTCCTTTGAATTTATGCTAACTGATACGAATACCAAGCAGTTTTATACTTCTAAAGGTTTACTTTAGTCCAAGTAAGCAATTTAATATTGAAACAAGGAAAAGATTGTTGCTTGCACATACAGATTTTTTTTCTGCCAATGCAAAATACAGTGATATTATTTATTTATTCATTATATATACCCTTACCTTTCCCAAAAGGGACTGGAGCCTGCTACAAAATGAAATGAAGGATTCTTTGGTTCAAATCAAAATTTCCTTGCTGTAGAAAAAGTCAATGCAGTTTGGAATTTGTTTGGTTGTTATACTTGTCTTTTTCTTTTTTTTTTTTTTTATTTTTTTGAGATGGAGTCTTGCTCTGTCGCCCAGGCTGCAGTGCAGTGGCACGATCTCAGCTCTGCCTTCCAGGGTCAAGGGATTCTCCTGAGTAGCTGGGTTGACAAGCGCCCACCATCATGCCTGGCTAATTTTTGTATTTTTAGTAGAGAAGGCGTTTTGCCATGTTGGCCAAGCTGGTCTCGAACTCCTGATCTTGGGTGATCCGCCTGCTTCGGACTCCCAAAGTGCTGGGATTATAGGTGTGAGTCACCATGCCTGGCCAAAAAAAAAAAAATTTTTTTTTTTTGAGATGGAGTTTCGCTCTTGTTGCCCAGGCTGGAGTGCAATGGTGCAATGTCGGCTCACCACAACCTCCACCTCCCAGGTTCAAGAGATTCTCCTGCCTCACCCTCCCGAGTAGCTGGGATTACAGGCATGTGCCACCACACCCGGCTAATTTTGTGTATTTATTTTTAGTAGAGACGGGGTTTCTCCATGTTGATCAGGCTGGTCTAGAACTCCTAACCTCAGGTGATCCGCCTGCCTCAGTCTCCCAAAGTGCTGGATTACAGGCATGAGCCACCGCCCCTGGCCAAAAAAAAAATTTTTTTTTAATTAGCCAGGCATTGTGGCACACTTCTGTAGTCCCAGCTATTTGAGAGGCTGAATGAAGCAGGAGGATTGCTTGAGCTCAAGAGGTTGAGGCTGCAGTGAGCCATGATGGAGCCACTGCACTCCAGCCTGGGTGATAGAGCCAGACCCTGTCTGAAAAAAAAAAGTTATCAGTGTGGGCCCTGATTCAATATGACTGGTGTCCTTATAACAAGAGGAGATTAGGACACAGACACACACATAAGGAAAACCATGTGAAGACACAAAAAAAGACACCATCTACAAGCTGAGACGCCCTCAGGAGAGGCCAACCCTGCTAATGCCTTGATATTGGACTTCAGGCCTCTGGAGCTAAGAGAAAGTACATTTCTGCTACCACCCAGTCTGTGCTACTTTGTTACCGCAGCCCTAGCAAACTAACATCCCTTCTTAGATGCTATCCATCCGTCATAGACTATCCTTCCTCAAACAAAGCTGGGGGACGGGCGGGCTTTAAGGGTTACAGTGGGGGAAAATAATTCACACCATCCCTCTCTGCTCAAAGCCGGTATTACTGAGGTAGCATCAGTATGAAATGCACTTTGATTTACTTCTCTAGCATTGGGAGTAGGTTATGCTCAGCCATCTGTTCTCTCTTGCCCAGTTCCCTTGAGATAGTTGGAAAACATTTTTGAAATCTGGAGACAGTAACATCTGTAGCTGTAGTATAATTTTTTTGTTTCTTTTATGGAACTAAAACTCAATAAGCACATGCTCAGTTTGATTTTTAGTTTCTTCCCTGATTGTGTATGTACAACATGTCACTAGAAAAATTTTTGGAAATCCATAACTGCTATGATTTTGCCATATTTTCATCTGCCCTTTTATTCTATCCTTTTAAATGTATTTTAATCAATTAAAAAACTAACACCAGCTGGGCACGGTGGCTCACGCCTGTAATCCCAGCACTTTGGGAGGCCGAGGCAGGCAGATCACCTGAGGTCAGGAGTTTGGGACCAGCCTGGCCAACATGGTGAAACCCCATCTCTACCAAAAATACAAAAATTAGCTGGGCATGGTGGCACACGCCTGTAATCCCAGTTACTCAGGAGGCTGAGATAGGAGACTCACTTGAACCCGGGAGGTGGAGGTTGCAATGAGCCAACATCACGCCATTGCACTCCAGCCTGGGCAACAAGAGTGAAACTCAGTCTCAGAAAAAAAAACAAAAAAACTAACACCACCTTTTAACTCCTAAATGTGTTTTTATACATAATTTTATTTCATGGTTCTCTGTTCATCTAACATATGGTATTAGGCCATTTTATTAAACCCTTCTCATAAGCATTCCGTTATATGAAGATACACTTTTTTTTTTTTTTTTTTTAAGACGGAGGCCCGCTCTGTTGCCCAGGCTGGATTGTAGTGGCACGGTCTCAGCTCACTGCAGCCTTCACCTCCCAGGTTCAAGCGATTCTCCTGCCTCAACCTCCCGAGTAGCTGGGATTACATACGCCTGCCAACATGCCCAGCTAACTTTTTGTATTTTTAGTGGAGACAGGGTTTCACCATGTTGGCTAGGCTGGTCTCGAACTTCTGACCTCGTGATCCACCCTCCTTGGCCTCCCAAAGTGCTGGGATTACAGGCGTGAGCCACCGCGCCCGGCCGAAGATATACATTTTATTTAAACATTTCTCTATCAATGCATGTAGATCCCAACTAAATGTAACTTCACAGAATTGTTCTATTTCTTCAGACTACTCACAATCATCATAATACACAACCCATCTGAACAAACCTGGAATCTTTTCCAGCATGCTGCTGTTCTCATTGGGCTTCGTTGGTTTTTTGGTTTTTTTGTTGTTTGTTTATTTGTTTTAGAGATGGAGTCTCGCCCTGTGGCACAGTCTAGAGTGCAGTGGCGTGATCTCCCTCACTGCAACCTCCGCCTCCTGGGTACAAGCACTCCTCCTGCCTCAGCCTCCTGAGTAGCTGGGATTACAGGTGTCCACCACGACACCCGGCTGATTTTTGTATTTTTAGTAGAGACGGGGTTTCGCCATGTTGGCCACGCTTGTCTCGAACCCGTGACCTCAGGTGAACCAGTTGCCTCGGGCTCCCAAAGTGTTGGCATTACAGGCGTGAGCCATAGCACCCGGCCTCATCTTCCATTTCTTCAGCTGCCTTGAACCCTCCAACCCAGGCACAAGATGAATGCTGTAGTTTGCTGTACCTTCGGGATTATGCTAACCTTTGGCCCTTACTGGTCCTAAAAAGTGACTGAATGTTTGTTCTTTCCTGCCTTTCTCTAATTGTACCCCAAGCATATCCTCTTTCAGGTCTTTTCTGTCATGGTTGGTGTGTCTTTTTCTACTGGCATCTGACTTCTCATGTCAGTAAGAAATATTCCCTGACAAGGGCAGAGGAGAGAGAGAATGAGCCAAGACTGAGGCAGCAAATGTGGTAGGAGCAAAATGAGAAACTCAAAAGAGAGAGAAATACGAGAGCACTAAGGGCCAATAGATGGAGACAGACCTAGACACAGCTACCACCTCCCCTCCTCCATCTACTTCCTCATCAAAACCCAACAAAACCAGGCCAGGCACAGTGGCTCAAGCCTGTAATCCCAGCACTTTGGGAGGCCAAGGCAGGTGGATCACCTGAGCCCAGGAGTTCAAGACCAGCCAGGCCAACATGGTGAAACCCCATCTCTACTAAAATACAAACATTAGCTGGGCCCAGTGGCACGTGCCTATATTCCCAGCTCCTAGGGAGGATGAGGCAGAAGAATCACTTGACCCCAGGAGGCAGAGGTTGCAGTGAGCTGAGATTGCGCCACTGCACTCCATCCTGGGCAACAGAGTCAGACTCCGTCTCAAAAAAAAAAAAAAAAAAAGAAGAAGAAAGAAAAGGAAAAAAAAGTAAAGGAAGATGAGGTAGCAAATAGGAAACTAAAATATTTAATTTTTTTTTTTTTGCTGTGTAGAGTTCATTTATTTATTTGTGTGTGTTTCTTTTTTTTATTATTATACTTTAAGTTTTAGGGTACATGTGCACAATGAGGAAACTAAAATATGACGACATAGTGTATATAAATTATTTAGAACAATGTCCAGCACTCTGCTCAATGTCAAGACATTGTTATTGTCATCATCGTTATTAGTTCTGTAGTACTTTGGGGAATTTCTTCTTCTAGTATAATCTTTCACAGTTGACTACTATTGCTAGGTTCTAATTAGTCAAGATTTCCAGTGATGTTCATTTGAATCAAGGCAAGGACTGTCGTCATTATTATTATTCACTATTATAATTATTTAGAGATGAGGTCTTGCTACATTACCCAGGCTGGAGTGCAGTGGCTACTTCATAGGTGTGATCATAATGCACTACAGCCTTGAACTCCTAGACTCAAACGATCCTTCCATCTCAGCCTCCAGAGTACCTAGGACTACAGGTGCACACCATCATGCACGGCCCAGGGGAAGGACTTTCTACATGGAAAGGAAAGCACAAAAACATTATTTTCTTTTTTTTTCTTTTCTTTCTTTTTTTTTTTTTTTTTTTTTTTTTTTGAGACAGTGTCTGGCTCTGTCTCCTAGGCTGGAGTGCACTGGCGTGATCTTGGCTCACTGCAACCTCTGCCTCTCAGGGTCAAGGGATTCTCCTGCCTCAGCCTCTCAAGAAGCTGGGATTACAGGTGCGCATCACCACAGCCAGATAACTTTTTTGTATTTTTAGTGGAGACAAGGTTTCACCATGTTGGTCAAGCTGGTCTCGAACTCCTGACCTCAAATGATCCGCCCGCTTCAGCCTCCCAAAGTGCTGAGATTACAGGTGTGAGCCACCGTGCTCAGCCATTATTTCCATTTTTTATTAACATTTTCACCTAAATATTGCCTGACCATTCCCTGTGCCTGGGGACTGGTAAACAAAATAATGGGATGCATCCAGTTGCCATATATGATCTTAATAACTTTCTATTTACTAGTTCACTGTATTTACCTTGAACAAAATCCTAAGATCACAGTGGCTCACACCTGGAATCCTAGCACTTTGGGAGGCCAAGGTGGATAGATTGCTTGGAGCCCAGGAGTTTGAGACCAGCCTGAGCAACATGTTGAAACCCCATCTCTACTAAAAGTACAAAAATTACCCAGGCATTGTGATGTGGGCCTGTGGTCCCAGCCATTCAGGAGGCTGAGTTGGGAGGACTGCTTGAGCCCAGGAGGTGGAAGCTATAGTGAGTTGAGATCATGCCACCGCACTCCAGTTTGGGTGACAGAACAAGACCCTGTCTCAAAAAGAAAAAACAATTTATATGACCTAGAGTATTTGTATTATAGTTCATTTACACACTGCTGGTAAAGACATACTCAAAACTGGGAACAAAAAGTTTTGTTTTTGTTTTTTTGAGACAGAGTCTCGCTCTGTTGCCCAGGCTGGAGTGCAGTGGCATGATCTCGGCTCACTGAGAGCTCCGCCTCCTGGGTTCAGGCAATTCTCCTGCCTTAGCCTACCGAGTAGCTGGGACTACAGGTGCCCGCCACCACGCCCAGCTAATTGTTTTGTATTTTTAGTAGAGATGGTGTTTCACCATGTTAGCCAGGATGGTCTCGATCTCCTGACCTCGTGATCCACCTGCCTTGGCCTCCCAAAGTGCTGGGATTACAGATGTGAGCCACCGCACCCAGCCAAAAAAGAGGTTTAATTGGACTTACAGTTCCATATGGCTGGGGAGGCCTCAGAATCAAGGCGGGAGGAGAAAGGCACTTCTTACATAGTGGCAACAAGAGAAAAATGAGGAGGAGGCAAATGTGGAAACTCCTGATAAGCCCATTAGATCTCGTGAGACTTATTCACTACCACAAGAATAACACAGGAAAGACTGGCCTCCATGATTCTATTTCCTCCCTCTGGATTCCTCCCACAACATGTGGGAATTCTGGGAGATATAATTCAAGTTGAGATTTGGGTGGGGACACAGCCAAACCACATCATTCTGCCCCTGACACCTCCAAATCTCTTGTCCTCACATTTCGAAACCAATCATGCCTTCACAACAGTTCCCCAAAGTCCCAAAAATCCACAGTCCAAAGTCTCATCTGAGACAAGGTAAGTCCGTTCTGCCTATGAGCCTGTAAAATCAGAAGCAAGCTAGTTACTTCCTAGATACAATGGGGGTACAGGTACTGGGTAAAGACAGCTATTCCAAATGGGAGAAATTGGCCAAACAAAGGGGTTACAGGGCCCATGCAAGTCTGAAATCCAGTAGGGCAGTCAAATTTTATTTTATTTTATTTTGTTTTATTTTATTTTATTTTATTTATTTTAGAGTCTTGCTCTGTTGCCCAGGCTGGAGTGCAGTGGCGCAATCTCGGCTCACTGCAACCTCTGCCTCCCATGTTCAAGCAATTCCCCTGCCTCAGCCTCCCAAGTACCTGGAATTACAGGGCCATGCCACCATGCCTGGCTAATTTTTGTAGCTATTTTTAGTAGAGATGGGGTTTCACCATGTTGGCCAGGCTGGTCTAAAACTCCTGACCTTGTGATCCACCTGACTCGGCCTCCCAAAGTGCTGGGATTACAGGCATGAGCCACCACACCCGGCCCCAAGGACAGTCGAATTTTAGAGCTTCAAAATGATCTCCTTTGATTCCAGGTCTCACATCCAGGTCATGCTGATGCAAGAAGTGGGTGCCCATGGTCTTGGGCAGCTCTGTCACTGTGGCTTTGCAGGCTATAGCCTCCCTCCTGGCTGCTTTCATAAGTTTGTGTTGAGTGTCTGTGGCTTTCCTAGGCACATGGTGCAAGCTGTCCGTGGATCTACCATTCTGCGGTCTAGAGGATGGTGGCCCTCCTCTCACAGCTCCACTAGGCAGTGCCCTAGTAGAGACTCTGTCTGGGGGCTTCGACCCCATGTTTCCCTTCTGCACTGCCCTAACAGAGGTTCTCTGTGAGGGCTCCGCCCCTGCAGCAAACTTTTGCCTGGGCATCTAGGCATTTCCATACATCTTCTGATATCTAGGCAGAGGTTCCCAAACCTCAATTTTTGACTTCTGTGCATGTGCAGGCTCAACATCACATGGAAGCTGCCAAGGCTTGGGGCTTCCACCCTCTGAAGCCACAGCCCGAGCTCTACAGTGGTCCCTTTCAGCCACGGCTGGAGCGGCTGGGACATGGGGCAACAAGTCCCTAGGCTGCACACAGCATGGGGACCCTGGGCCTGGCCCATTATACCACTTTTTCCTCCTGGGCCTCTGGGCCTGTGATGGGAGGGGCTGCTGTGAAGGTCTCTGACATGGACTGGAGACATTTTCCCCATAGTGTTGGGGATTATCATTAGGCTCCTTGCGACTTATGCAAATTTCTACAGCCAGCTTGAATTTCTCCTCAAAAAATGGGTTTTTCTTTTCTACTGCATCAGAGGCTGCAAATTTTCTGAGCTTTTATGTTCTGTTTTCCTGTTTTTTGTTTTTTGTTTTTTGAGACGGAGTTTCACTCTTGTTGCCCAGGCTGGAGTGCAATGTTGCAATCTCAGCTCACTGCAATCTCTGCCTCCCCAGTTCAAGCAATTCTCTTGCCTCAGCCTGCTGAGTAGCTGGGATTACAGTTGCACGCTGCCACACCCAGCGAATTTTTGCATTTTTTAGTAGAGACACGATTTCACTATGTTGGCCAGGCTGGTCCCAAACTCCTGACCTCAGGTGATATGTCCACCTCGACCTCCCAAAGTGTTAGGATTACAACCATGAGCCACTGTGCCTGGCCTCTGTTTCCCTTTAAAAACTGAATGCTTTTAACAGCACTCAAGTCACCTTTTGAATGTTTTGCTGCTTAGAAAATTCTTCTGCCGGATACCCTAAATCATCTCTCTCAAGTTCAAAATTCCACACATCTCTAGCACAGAGCAAAATGCTGTTAGTCTCCTTGCTAAAACATAACAAGAATCACCTTTGCTCCAGTTTCCAACAAGCTCCTTATCTCCCTATGGGACCACTTCAGCCTGGACCTTATTGTTCATATCACTATCAGCATTTTTTTAAAGCCATTCATCAAGTCTCTAGGAGGTTCCAAACTTTCCCACATTTTCCTGTTTTCTTCTGAGCCCTCCAAACGGTTCCAACCTCTGCCTGTTACCCAATTCCAAAGTCCCTTCCACATTTTTGGGTATCTTTTCAGCAACGCCCCACTCTACTGGTACCGATTTACTTTATCAGTTTGTTTTCTTTCTTTCTTTTCTTTTTTTTCTTTTTTTTTTTTTTTTTTGAGATGGAGTTTCGCTCTTGTTGCCCCAGGGTGGAGTGCAATGGCACGATCTCGGCTCAATGCAAACTCCACCTCCCAGGTTCAAGCCATTCTCCTGCCTCAGCCTCCTGAGTAGCTGGGATTACAGGCTTGTGCCACCACACCCAGCTAATTTTGTATTTTTTTTAGTAGGGACGGGGTTTCTCCATGTTGGTCAGGCTGGTCTCGAATTCCAGACCTCAGGTGATCCACCCACCTCGGCCTCCCAGAGTGCTGGGATTTATTAGTTTGTTTTCACACTGCTGATAAAGACATACCAGAAACTAGGAACAGAAAGAGGTTTAATTGGACTTACAGTTCCACATGGCTGGGGAAGCCTCAGAATCACGGCGGGAGGCAAAAGGCACATGGCGGCAGCAAGAAAAAATGAGGACGAAGCAAAAGCAGAAACCCCTGATAAACCCATCAGATCTCATGAGATGTATTCACTACCACAAGAGTAGCACGGGAAAGACTGGCCCCCATGATTCAATTACCTCCCTCTGGGTCCTTCCCACAACACATGGGAATTCTGGGAGTTACAATTCAAGTTGAGATTTAGGAGGGTGGGGACAGAGCCAAACCATATCAGTATTCCAAACACAGATCCCTGCAGTGGCCAGGTGGTGAAGATAAATGACTGTACTGAGCCTGATATATGGAGTGTACACCCTGTGTAAAGAGGGCAGCAGCTAGTCAGCAATACCGCAGGTAATCGTGCAAGAAATGGCCAAATCTGACTGATTTCCAAAAGAAGTTACAATTCTGTATTCTTATCTGAAATCTCTTATTTTTTATTTTATTTTATTTATTTATTTATTTATTTTGAGATGGAGTCTTGCTCTGTCGCCCAGGCTGGAATGCAGTGGTAAGATACAGCTCCACCGCAACCTCCACCACCCGGGTTCAAGTAATTCTCCTGCCTCAGCCTCTCAAGTAGCTGGGATTACAGGCGCCTGCAACCACACCCAGCTAATTTTTTGTATTTTTAGTAGAGATGGGGTTTCACCACGTTGGCCAGGCTGGTCTCGAACTCCTGACCTGAAGTGATCCACCCGCCTTGGCCTCCCAAAGTGCTGGGATTACAGGTGTGAGCCACCATGCCCGGCCCTGAAATCTCTTATTTTTTAAATCTTGGAAACTAATGTTAAAATTTCTAGACATTGTAGAGACAAACAATACATATCTGTGACCACTGATTTGTAACTTCCAACTCAAGGTGTATTTGTTTCCCATTCACAAAATATTCCACCCCTTTGGGTTTGAGCTGAATTTCCAACCACAGAGTCCTCAACCTCAGCATTCTGAGCTGCCCTGAGAATGTCCTTACCAAGGTAAAGCCACCCACCCTTCTCCCCAGAAGCAGTAAGAAGACTTACTGCTTTTTCCTCCTAGTCTAGGAAATTCACTACCAATTGAGAAATAAAACTGTGCCAAGACATTTGGGTAGGAAATTATAAAAATCATCCTTACAGAATTATACATGAAATGTTTGGGCAAAATAGTAACTCCATTTATAAAGGTAATTAATTTCCCAAACCTATTCCAAAAGTTTGCTAGCAGGGGATATAACAGAAGAAATAATTAAGGCAAAGGCTGGGCGCGGTGGCTCACGCCTGTAATCCCAGCACTTTGGGAGGCCGAGGCGGGTGGATCACGAGGTCAAGAGATCAAGACCATCCTGGCCAACATGGTGAAACCCTGTCTCTACTAAAAATACAAAAATTAGATGGGTGTGGTGGCGCGAGCCTGTAGTCTCAGCTACTTGGGAGGCTGAGGCAGGAGAACTGCTTGAATCCAGGAGGCGGAGGTTGCCGTGAGCTGAGATCATGCCACTGCACTCCAGCCTGGCGACAGAGCAAGACTGTCTCAAAAAAATAAAAATAATTAAGGCAGAATGTTTCTAATTTTCATCTTTAAGAGGAACGGAAAGAAGTAGATTTCTTCGGCTGGGCGCGGTGGCTCATGCTTGTAATCCCAGCACTTTGGGATGCCGAGGCGGGCGGATCATGAGGTCAGGAGATCGAGACCACGGTGAAACCCCGTCTCTACTAAAAATACAAAAAGATTAGCCGGGCGTGGTGGTGGGCGCCTGTAGTCCCAGCTACTCGGAGAGGCTGAGGCAGGAGAATGGAGTGAACCCGGGAGGCGGAGCTTGCAGTGAGCCGAGATCGCGCCACTGCACTCCAGCCTGGGTGACAGAGCGAGACTCTGTCCCCCCCCCCCAAAAAAAAGGAGAATTAGCTTTCTTCTGAAATTAGACGTTAAGGCCAGGTTCCTCACACCTATAATCCCAACACTTTGGGAGGCCGAGGTGGGTGGATCACCTGAGGTCAGGAGTTCGAGACCAGCCTGACCAACAAGGTGAAACCCCGTCTCTACCAAAAACACAAAAATTAGCTGGGCATGGTGGCAGGCACCTGTAGCCCCAGCTACCTGGGAGGCTGAAACAGGAGAACTGCTTGAACCCGGGAGGCAGAGGTTGCAGTGAGCAGAGATCACGCCACTGCACTCCAGCCTGGGCAACAAGAGTGAAACTCCGTTTCAAAAAAAAAAAAAAAGAAATTAGACGTTAAAAAAAGATGTGACACATCATATCAAAATTGTCTACACTACATTAAAGGAGTTAAAAATACTGAAATGCAGCAAGACGAACTTGTCTCGAGACAGGGTCTTGCTCTGTTGCCCAGGCTGGGGTGCAGTGGCGCCATTATGGCTCACTGCAGTCTCGACATCCCGTTCTCACGCAATCCTCCTGCCTCTGCCTCTTGAGTAGCTAGGTCTACAGCTATGTGCCACTACGCCCAGCTAATTTTTTGTATAGATGAGGTTTTGCCTTTTTTCCTTTCTGTAGAGATGAGGTTTTGCCATGTTCCCTAGGCTAGTCTCCAACTCCTGGGCTCAAGCCACCATCTGCTCTGGCCTCCGAAAATGCTGAATTACAGGTGTGAACCACTGTGCCTGGCCGCAATATCATTTAGGATTGCATTTTGTTTAGATTTTTTAATTCTTTAGTTTTTCTTATTATGGTAATATAATAGATCTAGGAGCTAAATTCCAGTATTCAATTTTTGTACAATGATATGCAATTCATTCTCATGATTTGACAGTGTTGACTTTCTATTATTGACAATCTCGTGATCTGAAGAAAAACACTTGTGGTTTTATTATCTTTTTAGTGGGTATTAAGATCAAAATGATGAGCACAAAAAAAAAAAAAAAACGAAAAAAAAAAAGAGGGCCGGGCTCATGACTATAATCCCAGCACTTTGGGAGGCCGCGCCGGGTGAATAACGAGGTCAGTAGTTTGAGTCCGCCTGGCCAACATGGTGAAACCCCATCTCTACTAAAAATACAAAAAATTAGCTGGGCATAGTGGCGGGCGCCTGTAATCCCAGCTACTCAGAAGGCTGAGGCAGGAGAATCGCTTGAACCCCGGTGGCAGAGGTTGCAGTGAACCGAGATCGCGCCACTGCACTCCAGCCCTGGTGACAGAGTGAGACTCCGTCTCAAAAAAAAAAGAGAGAAGAAAACAACCTTCAGTAGGAATAGATAACAAAACATTTGAAATAAGATATATATTTATATACCCAATGAGGGCTAAGAGTTTCTAGCACTGTTGAGGTTGCCAATTGGTCAAAACAGAAAGCAACGATTCCCTTTGGAAAATTAGCTGGCAGTAAGGAACTGGCTACAATGACAAGCCAATAACCATATATGAAAGGTCTCTTTTTGTTGCTTTGTTTGTATTTAATTTCTATTTAAAAGATTGGAACCTCTATTCCTACCTTAATAGCATTTACTAAATGTTAATAGCATTTACTATTTATATTACTATTTATAAATAGTATTTATAAATGTAATAAATATGGTAGTTCAAGTGTAATACTACAGCTAATTATGAATAAGCTCATTCTTAATGTTGAATTTAAGGAACATATATATCTATATATAGATATCTATATATAGACCTATATATCTATATATAGATATCTATATATCTATACATATATCTATATAGATCTATAGAGATCTCCATAGATCTATATATCTATACATACATCTATATAGATCTATAGATATCTCTATAGATCTATATATCTATACATTTATCTAGATATATAGGTATCTATATATATCTATACATATATCTATATAGACCTATATATAGATATCTATAGATATATACTTATATAGACCTAGATATAGATATCTATATATCTATATCTTTATATATCTATATATATATATAGATATAGATTTTTTTTTTTTGAGACGGAGTCTCGCTCTGTTGCCCAGGCTGGAGTGCAGTGGCACAATCACTGCAACCTCCGCCTCCCGGGTTCAAGAAATTTTCCCGTCTCAGCCTCCCAAGCAGCTGGGACTGCAGGCACCCGCCACCACGCCCAGGCTCATTTTTGTACTTTTAGTAGAGAGTGGGTTTCACCATATTGGTCAGGATAGTTTCCAACTCCTGACCTCAGGTGATCCGCCTGCCTCGGCCTCCCAAAGTGCTGGGATTACATGCGTGACCCACAGCACCCGGCCATATTTTCTTTCTATTTTTTGTAAATAAAAAAACATACGTCTGTACATTCCGTACATAGTAATATTTTATTTTCTTCCCAATGTGGTAACTAAAATACATTTAAACGAAGGCTAGAATTTAAAACAAAATTCTTTTACTGATAAGCACACTTGCAAAGTAATGAAAATGTTACATGCATTGCTTTGCATATAAACGTCCAAGAAGTATTTGTTGACCAAATGTCTGAAAATGAAGTATTTTTATCTGTTCCGAAACGCCATAATATTGCAAAGAAGCATTTCAAATTATTGTTGTGTGAAATGTTCAAATTTAGCATTCAAATTTAGCGTTTTCCCACATTTTACCCTTCAATTTACACAATTTGGAAGAAGAGTAGATGAGTTGGTCATTGTTACTTAAAACAATGCGTCACCTTGTTAGGGAAAGAAATTAACATAATGGTCAAGGAGTGATAATTAAACAGAACATGACATTTGCTGTCCATTCAATGTTAAAGTTCTAAGCAAATTAGCATGGAGAAAAGGGATGGGTAGAAATAATAACAGAGCACTAGTTGATTAGTCCGCCTCCACATCCACGCTGCAGGCGTTGGACAGATCCGGCTTTACTGAGTCCACCATGCAGGGAAATGGACGCGCGGGCTAAGCGGAATCCCAGGGGCGCGATCGCACCGGCTGGCGTTCCAGCAAACCCTGCATCCCAGGCCCTGGATTCAGGCTGCCTTCTGAGTCTTTGACTTATTTTCCTTTGCCTGGAAACAGAACGCCGCGGTCCGTACCGGAGAGGGAGAAAGTGCAGGACGACCCGCCGGGAAGACCCGAGCGCGTGCGCCTTCCCCGCGGCTCCACGGGCACAAAACGGTGGCTCCGGAGCTCCTAGACCCAGGCAGCCCCAGCTGCGCGCGCGCCTCCCCCCGAGCGCGGCCGGGCTCCCGCGGGAAACAAGCGACCGCGGCACGCGTGGGCGCGGCGGGTGGGTGCCGGCGCCAGGTTCCTCCCGGCTCCCCACTGCGGATCCTCGCGGCTCCTCCCGGCTCCGCCCAGCGGCTCACCCCGCGGACGGGGATCCCTCCGCCCACCGCCGGCCCTTCCGCGCCAAGTAGTGCGACCCCGGCCCCCGCAGCTTCCGCCAACCCAGGCTCGCGAGGACGAGTCCACGGTCGCGGGCGAGAAGGAGCGACGCAGAGACGGCCGGGGGCGCGGGGCAGTCCCGAGGTTTTCCCCGCGAGGCCGCGGGGGGTCTCCCAGTGGCCAGGGAGAGAGCGCGCCCAGGTCCGCGGAACCACGGCTCCTGCCGCGGCGAGCGGGCCGGGAGTCTACGGTCGGGGCAGAGCCGCCCGGGAAGCCGCGCGAGGACGGCGGCCGGCGGCCGGCGGCGGAGGCAGGTGTCCCGAGGCCTGCCCCACCCCCACTACCGCGGGCAGGAAGAGGAAGGAGCCGCGGCCGTGCCTGGCGGGCGGGGGTGCCCGACCCGCGGAGCGCGTGACCTAGTTCGTCCCAAAGTGGATTTGACAGGTTGTCAGCTCCACTCCCCGCCCCCACCGCCTTCCGGGTCTCCCTCCTCTCGGGGGGAGGCCCACCGCCCGCGGTCCTCGGCTCGGCCTCCCATTGGCTCTCTCGCCGCCTGGCGCCCCGCCCTCTCGGTATCACCCTTCCATTGGCTTGGGACCCCGCCCCTGCCCCTAACTCACCCTCCCACTGGCTTCGTGCCGCCTGGCACCCCGCCTCAGCCCAGAGGACCCGGCCCGCCCTCCCATTGGCCTCGCACCGCCTAATTCCCCGCCCTCGCCCCGGCCCGCCCTCCCATTGGCGTCGTTTCGCCTAGTGCCCCGCCCTCGCCCCGGCCCGCCCTCCCATTGGCCTCGAGCCGCCTGGCGCCCCGCCCCTTCCGCGGGCCCCGCTCCCAGCGCAGCCCGGCTCTCTGCTTGTCTGCGGGTTCCTGCGGGCGTTCCTCAGTGTCTGCCTTCTTCCTTCCCTCTTGAGTGTTGCTCCTCTTCCTCTCCTTTTTTCCATGTCTCTCCTTTTTCTGATCTCCTCCCGTTTCGGCAGCCCGAGCGCTCTTGCCCGGTTGCACCCCGCAGCCTGAGCTGGGCTCCCGGTGCCGGCTGCCTGAGCTCCAGGACCTGCCCTGGGGCCCCCTACAACCTTCCCGCCGCTCCCGGAACCTGACCCCTCTGTGCTTCACTTCTCGGTTTTCTTCCCTGAAATAAGCAGCAGCGAATCCCTTCTCCAGGTTTTCTCATGTGTTCAGTCTGCAAGGCTTCTCCCTTTCTCCACCCTGCGCCTCGGTTTCTCCCCCGCTTCCCCGCCCTCCCTAAACTCAGCCAAGTGGAACAGATCTCCCAGCAAAACAAGGCAGAGGGCGAGGATAAAAATGATAAATGTCAATATCAACATTTTTATTGCTTTAGGTTTTTAAAACAGAAAATTAGCAGGAACGCCCAGATCGACCCAGACCTAGGATCAAGATGGAGTTTCTTAAAGTACCAAGTGAGACTGCAGTGACAAAGTCGATTATCCCAGCAATATAATCAGCTTTGCCTGGGGAATTTACTTTTACTTTGTTTTTATTTGTTTGTTTGCTTTGAGATGGAGTCTCGCTCTGTCGCCCAGGCTAGAGTGCAGTGGCGCGATCTCAGCTCACTGCAACCTCCGTCTCCTGGGTTCAAGCAATTCTCCTGCCTCAGCCTCCCAAATAGCTGGGAGTACAGGCGCCCACCACCATGCCCAGCTAATTTTTGCATTTTTAGTAGAGACGGGGTTTCTCCATGTTGGTCAGGCTGGTCTCGAATTCCTGACCTCAGGTGATCCGCCCGCTTCGACCTCCCAAAGTGCTGGGATTACAGGCGTGAGCCACTGCGCCCGGCCTACTTTTAGTTTATGCAGTATTCTGGCGATTTAAAGTTTGTATTTTTTTTTTAATTTTCTGAGCTCGTTTTGTAAATGGCTGCTCTTGAACGTAAGGATAAATTGACTGATGAGGCTGAGGTTTGGAGCCAATCCCCGCACAAGGCATTTGGCATCAAACACGAGAAACCCTTGGCTATTCAAATGAGGAAACTCAAGTAACTTTCCCAGGGTCACTAAAGTCGGAGACCTCAAACGTGGACCCAGGTCAGGCTCCAGAGGTCCACCAGGACGACCCATCATGGCTCATGAATGTATCCGTAAAAATGGCAGAACTGCTCTTTCCAGCTGCCTTCCTACCTATCATGGGGGTCCTAACCGAGCTCCCCATCATGACATTCAAGGCCTACCTTATAGGATCCCTGCCTTACAGGAGCAGTTTCAGTGCAGCAGGCACACTGACCACCTTTCTGCCAAGACCTTTTTGCCAGAGGGCCTTTGCACTTGAATTTCTTTAGACTTTTCGCCTGGCTTAGCTCGTCTGTCACCTTGGGGAGGCATTTTTCTTTCTTTCTTTGTTTCTTTCTCCTTTTTTTTTTTTTGAAACGGAGTCTTGCCCTGTCGCCCAGGCTGGAGTGCAATGGTGCGATTTCAGCTCACTGCAACCTCCGCCTTCCAGGTTTAAGCGATTCTCCTGCCTCAGCCTCCTGAGTAGCTGTGATTACAGGCACGTGCCACCAACCCTGGCTAATTTTTGTATTTTTAGTAGAGATGGGGTTTCACGATGTTGGCCAGGCTGGTCTCAAACTCCTTCACCTCAGCTTACAGGTGTGAACCACTGGGCCCAGCCTCTCCTCTCTTCCCTGCTCCCCTCCCCTCCCCTTCCCTCTTCTCTCTCTTTTCTTTATTTTTCTTTCTTTCTTCCTTTCTTCCTTCGTTTCTTCGTTTCTTCCTCCTTTCCTTTCCTTTTCCTTTTTTTGAGATGGAGTCTCACTCTGTCGCCCATGCTTGGCTCACTGCAACCTCTGCCTCCCAGGTTCAAGTGATTCTCCTGCCTCAGCCTCCCTAGTAGCTGGGATTACAGGTGCCTGCCACCACACCCAGCTAATTTTTGTATTTTTAGTAGAGACAGGGTTTCGCCATGTTGGTCAGGCTGGTCTCGAACTCCTGACCTCAAGTGATCTGCCCACCTCAGCCTCCCAAAGTGTTGGGATTACAGGCATGAGCCACTGCACCTGGCCTCTTTTTCTTTTTTCTTTCTTTCTCTTTCTTTCTCTTTCTTTCTTTTTTTTTTTTTTTTTTTTTTTTTTTTTTGAGACAGGGTCTCTCTCTGTTGCCAAGGCTCCAAGGCTGGAGTGCAGTGGTGCAATCTCGGCTCACTACAGCTTTGACCTCCTGGGCTCAAGTGATCCTCCCACCTCAGCCTCCCAAGTAGTGGGGACTACAGGTATGCACCACCACACCTGGCTAATTTTTTTAATTTTAATTTAATTTAATTAATTTATTTATTTTGAGACAGAGTCTTGCTCTTTCACCCAGGCTGGGGTGCAGTGGCATGATCTCGGCTCACTGCAACCTCCACCTCCTGGGTTCAAGTGATTCTCCTGTTTCAGCCTCCCAAGTAGCTGGGATTACAAACACCCACCATGGTGCCCAGTTAATTTTTGTATTTTTAGTAGAGACGGGGTTTCACCATGTTGGCCAGTCTGGTCTTGAACTCCTGAGCTCTACCTGCTTTGGCCTCCCAAAGTGCTGGGATTACAGGCATGAGCCATGGCACCCAGCCAATTTTTTTTGTCTTTTTTTTTTTTTTTGTGGAGTCTGGGTTTCACATGGTGAAACCCCAGGCTGGTCTCAAACTCCTGGGCTCAAGTGATCCACCCACCTCGGCCTCCCAAAGTGCTAGGATTCCAGGCTTGCACCCCCTCGCCTGGCCTGGGGGAGGCATTTCTGACATTGTACCTAAAGTACCTTTCCCCGCTCCCTATCATATCACCGTGTTTTCCTCAGAGCTCTTGGCACAGTCTGAAATCATTGTTTACTTACTTATTATGGTCTGTTCTCCTTCATCTCCCTTCCACCATTAAGATGTGAGCTGCTGGACACAGGGGCCTTTTCGGTGTTTTTTCTGAACTGTATCTTCAGGGCACAAGGTGAGTGCTCAACAAATCGTTGATGAACAAATGAACAGGTACATTTGCTGTGACCAAATGGACTAACCAAACTGTCCTTCCCTTTGGATTCTGCCACAATTGTATAGACATACCTATAAGTAAGAAAGTTGGGAGAATAGCTATTTTGTTTTTAAATATTTTGTGTTTCTTTGATTCGTGTACTTTATTTCCTGCAATTTTTGAAAACAAATTAGCAACTTTAATTTGTAACAAAAGGATTAAATAAATATCCTCCCCCCCTTTTTTTTTAATCCTGCTATTTCGTGACAAGGAGAGTGGGAAGGCCATTGTCCCAAGGCCACTGTGTTGCCTACTTTTTTTCCAGCTGTTCACAGAATGTAGCCACTGGCCTTGCCCTCACCCTGGCCCCAGGTGGGCAGATAGTTGGCAGGCAGCCCCTTTCTCCAGAGCAGTCTCAGAGGCTCTCTGCTTGGCAGAGGTTTAGAGTGGGGGAAGGGAAGAACTACTGGTTCAGTGTGACCATCCCTGCGGCTCAGCTGCAGCCTCTGCAGTGGTTAAGTGTCATCCCCTCAGGGCAAAAAAGCAGAACATAAGAAGGCCTCTCTTAGCCTCCTCCTTCCTCCCCCTCAAACATACTTCTGGGTTCTGTTCATCAGCTAGATCACAGTCTGATCTTTATCCGGAACCTTTGCACGTGGGGCCCCTTCCACATGCTGAGGCCAAGAGAACCCTAGGTCAGTTGCTGGAGACTTGTAATTTAGTCCTAACTGGCCCCCAATAGGTAATGTATGCTGGGCAAGGTCTAATATCCTCTCTGGGTCTCAGTGACATCATCTGTCTTTGCCTATGTTGTTTATTCAGAGTTTTAAGGATACGGTATAGACGTCTCAGATTTTAGCTGCTAAAAACTATCAGTTCCAAACAAGAATCCTGAGGCTTCCCCTTAGGGCCACAGAGAGGCTGCCAGTAGCAGCAGAAGCCAGTGCTTCCTAATGTATGTTCAGCAGGAGAGAGTGTACTTCTGTTCCGGCATTCCAGTTCAGAGCCCCCAAGTCACCCAATGACTATGGCCAGAAGAATGGAAAGTGTCGATCAGAGTACATCCTTGGAGCAGGGGTGGTGTCGCCTTCTCCATTAAGTGTGTATGTAACTGAAATCTCAATACATTTACGCAGCGGGATGGAGGACAATGCTGAGTAGGTATTCAACAATGCTCTGGACTGGCGCGGTGGCTCACGCCTCTAATCCCAGCACTTTGGGAGGCTGAGGCGTGCAGATCACCTGAGGTCAGGAGTTGGAGACCAGCCTGACCAACGTGGTGAAACCCTGTCTCTACTAAAAATACAAAATTAGCCAGGCATGATGGACGCCTGTAATCCCAGCTATTTGGGAGGCTGAGACAGGAGAATCACTTGAACCTGGGAGGCGGAGGTTGCAGTGAGCCGAGATTGCGCCACTGCACTCCAGCCTGGGCAACAAGAGTGAAACTCCATCTCAATAAATAAATAAATAAATACATAAATAAATAAATAAATAAATAACAATGCCTCGTGAGTAACTGGCACAGTGCAGGACATATCGCATAGCTGATGTTAGCCATTGCTATTGGCAGCAAAGATAACACGTTGTGGGAGAATCAGCCTGGCACCAAGTCATTCTCTCAGGTCCCTAATCTGCCACTAACTACTGTCTTAGTGATGTCAGACAAATTATGGAAATTATACAATTTTAGAAGTGGAAGAGTTCTTAGAGGTCACAGGGCTCAATCCTTCATTGGACAGACTTGGAAACTGATACCCAGAGACAACAGTCTGAGTCTCAGTTTCTTCCTTTGTGAAGTGAGGCTAATAATACTGGTCATGTCTACCCTTGATGTTATGATGAGGATCAAATGAGGTACTGTTTATGTATAAGGCTTGGAAATGCTATTCTTTTTTTTTTTTTTTTTTTTTTTGAGACAGAGTCTCGCTCTTGCTGCCCAGGCTGGAGTACAGTGGTGCGATCTCGGCTCACTGCAATCTCCACCTCCCAGGTTCAAGCGATTCCCCTGCCCCAGCCTCCCAAGCAGCTGGGATTACAGGTGTCCACCACGCCTGGCTAATTTTTATATTTATAGTAGAGATGGGGTTTCACCATGTTGGCCAGGCTGGTCCTGAACTCCTGACCTCAGATGATCCACCCGCCTCGGCCTCCCAAAGTATTGGGATTACAGGTGTGAGCCACCGCCCCCGCCTGGAAATGCTATTCTTATGGGAAGCATTTTATTTGTGTTATTATTAATGTAGTAATTATGCCTCATTAAGGGGAGAAATGGAGAGTGCCTTCAAAGGATAAGCTTACTTGGTTCAAAATGAATAATGGCACTTGAGAGTGTGTGGTGTGTGTGTGTGTGTTCGTGTTCTTGTTAAGATGGGGAAGGTGTAGTTGAGACATGGCCCTTCGTGTACCATTAAGGAGTGGCATAGGGAATTGTTCTTAGGATGAAAGAGATTGGTGTGGTAGTTGGCTATAAATTGAAGTTGTCTCTCCTTGACTGACATTTGAGGAGAGTTGCTGACCTGGTAGGGCAAATCAAGTACTAGGAAAAGGCAACCTCTTAGAGAGAAATCGCATTAGGCCTTTCTTTGCCTTGCTATAAAGAAATACCTGAGACTGGGTATTTTATAAAGAAAAGAAGTTTAGGCCGGGCACAGTGGCTAACGCCTGTAATCTCCAGCACTTTGGGAAGCTGAGGTGGGAAGATCATCTAAGGTCAGGAGTTTGAGACCAGCCTGGCCAACATGGTGAAACCCCGTCTCTACTAAAAATACAAAAATTAGCTGGGCGGGGTGCTGCACGCCTGTGGTTCCAGCTACTCGGGAGGCTGAGGCAGGAGAATCGCTTGAACCTGGGAGGCAGAGGTTGCAGTGAGCTGAGATCATGCCAATGCAATCCAGCCTGGGCAACAGGAGGAGACTCTGTTTCAAAAAAAAAAAAAATACAGTCATGGTGGCGGGCGCCTGTAATCCCAGGAGAATCGCTTTAACCCGGGAGGCGGAGGCTGCAATGAGCTGAGGTTGCACCACTGCACTCCAGCCTGGGTGACAGAGTGAGACTCTGTCTTAAAAAAAAAAAGAAAAGAGGTTTAATTGACTTAGAGTTCTGCAGGCTGTACAGGAAGCGTGACACCAGTATCTGCCTGGCTTCTGGGGAGGCCTCAGGGAGCTTTTACTCATGGTGGAAGGAGAAGCTATAGCAGGGATGGGGGAGGTGTCACACAGTTTACAACAACCTGATCTTGTGAGAACTCACTGGCTATCCAAGCCATGAGGGATCCACCCCTAGACCCAAACACCTTCCACCAGGCCCCACCTCCAACCCTAGGGGTTACATTTCAACATGAGATTTGGGCAGGGACAAATATCCAAACTATATCAGTCATCTTTTTTTATATTTTTAATTTTAACTTTTTTTTTTTCCTGAGACGAGGTCTCAATCTGTCGCCCAGGCTGGAGCACAGTGGTGCTATCTTGGATCACTGCAACCTCCACCTCCTGGGCTCAAGCGATCCTCCCACCTCAGCCTCCTGAGTAGCTGGGACCACGGGCATGCACCACCACACCCGGCTAAATCAGTAACTTTATGTTAGTATTTTACCACCTTGTGTTGGTTCAGGTCCTTTGAAAAATAGATGCCAAGACGATTGTCATACAAGAGATTTATGGAAGAAACACTGATGAGGGGAAAAAAGTGGAGAAAGTTGGAGGAATGAGGAATTTTATTTATTTTTATATTTATTTATTTATTTGAGACAGAGTCTTGCTCTGTCACCCAGGTTGGAGTGCAGTGGTGAGATCTCAGCTCACTGCAACCTCTGCCTCCTGGCTTCAAGCGATTCTCCTGTCTCAGCCTTCTGAGTAGCTGGGATTACAGGTGTGTGCTGCCATGCCTGGCTAACTTTTGTATTTTTAGTAGAGATGGGGTTTCACCATGTTGGCCAGGCTGATCTCAACCTCCTGACCTCAGGTGATCCGCCCTCCTTAGCCTCCCAAAGTGCTGGGATTACAGGTGTGAGCCACCTCGCCTGGCCGGAATGGGGAAATTTGACCCCCCAGAAAGAAAAGAGAACAGAGTAAGTAGGAGGGTCCCAGACTGCAGTGCAGCTCTCAGATGATTTTGGCCAAACTGACCCAAGTCCCCATTAGAATCTGGCAGGAAGTGACCTTATTATCCCATAGTCGCTGTCTGGGCGTAGCCCTCAGGAAGCACGGTCTTATTGTAAATGTGGTGGTGGTAGATTCAGAGGACAGCAGTTGAGGTTCTCAGTCAATTACACCTGCAGCAGGAGATCCGAGTGGGGTCTTTCCACAGTTGTCATCATCCCACTGGTTTCAAAACAGCTCCATTCATTCACTGAGGGGCTGACCACCCGGGATGTTTCTGTGGCAGTGGCACACAGAAGCATGCGACCCTTGTCTTCTCCAGCCATCTTCCATGTAATTTTTCTTTTTTTTTTTTTTGAGACGGAGTCTCGCTCTGTTGCCCAGGCTGGAGTGCAGTGGCGCAATCTCGGCTCACTACAACCTCCGCCTCCCAGGTTCACACCGTTCTCCTGCCTCAGCCTCCCTAGTAGCTGGGACTACAGGTGCCCGCCGCCACGCCCGGCTAATTTTTTGTATTTTTAGTAGAGATGGGGTTTCACCGTGTTAGCCAGGATGATCTTGATCTCCTGACCTTGTGATCTGCCCGCCTCGGCTTCCCAGAGTGCTGGGATTACAGGCGTGAGCCACCGTGCCCGGCATAATTTTTCATATTTCAAAATGGCGAGTTTGTCTGATCGAGACTCCTTGCCTGCTGACCAAGTTGAATTCTGGTTGCTGGGTAATTCTTTACAAGGGTTGGCACTTAATAAATGTTCAAATTGTTCGAACAATAAACCGAAGTGCACCCTTGGGTTTATTGACTTGAAAGGTAAATAGTTACACTTACTTCCAGAACTCCACTGTTTCTATGCAGAATGAGAGGAGATGTTTAGCTTGCAACACTCTGAGAAGCTCATTTGGATAAGTCCCCCCCAAAAAAAGTTTACGAGTATTCATAGATAAAAGAAGAAAATTTTATTAAAAGCTGAAGTGCTCAGTAGAGAAAAAAAAATGAAAGAAGAGAAATTTAAGAAAATCCAGTGCTGGGCGTGGTGGCGCACACCAGTAATCCCAGCAATTCAGGAGGCCAAAGCAGGCAGATTACTTGAGGTCAGGAGTTTGAGAACAGCCTGCCCAACACGGCAAAACACCATCTCTACTAAAAATACAAAAATTGGCTGGGCGTGGTGGCACCTGCTTGTAGTCACAGCTACTTGGGAGGCTGAGGCAGGAGAATCACTTGAACCCAGGAGGCAGAGGTTGCAGTGAGCCGAGATGGTGCCACTGCACTCCAGCCTGGGCAACAGAGTGAGACTCTGTCTCAAAAAAAAAAAAGAACATCAGATTTTATAGATTGTATCTTTGTTGTAAGATGTTGAACATCTAAATTAAGACTTTAAATTTCAGTCCAGGCATGGTGGCTGATGCCTGTAATCCCAGCACTTTGGGAGACCGAGGTGGGTGGATCACCTGAGGTTGGGAGTTTGAGACCAGCCTGACCAACATGTAGAAACCCCATCTCTACTAAAACAAAACAAAACAAAACAAAAATTTAGTTGAGCGTAGTGGCACATGCTTGTAATCCCAACTACTCGGGAGGCTAAGGCAGGAGAATCGCTTGAACCTGGGAGGCAGAGGTTGTGGTGAGCCGAGATCATGCCACTGCACTCCAGCCTGGGCAACAAGAGCGAAACTCTGTCTCAAAAAAAAAAAAGACTTTAAATTTCAGTAACATATGAGTATATTTTGAAATGTTTTCTATTTAGTTTTAGGAATTAAGGCAAGTATAGATTCTTCTCAAAATGTAACATAGAAAATATCACAAGTAGTTTTAGAAACTATTTTCAACTGAAACAATATTTCAATCTTGGTTCATGGATTGTTATGCCTCTTGTAAATAAAACTACACTAGCCTGGTGCATGGCTCACGCCTGTAATCCCAGCAGGCTGAGGCAGGTGGATCATCTGAGGTCAAGAGTTTGAGACCAGCCTGGCCAACATGATGAAACCCCATCTCTACAAAAAATGCAAAAAATATATCTATATAGGCCAGGCGCGGTGGCTCACGCCTGTAATCCCAGCACTTTGGGAGTCCGAGGTGGGCGGATCACAAGGTCAGGAGTTTGAGACCAGCCTGGCCAACATGGTGAAACCCCGTCTCTACTAAAAATACAAAAATTAGCCGGGCGTGATGGTGCATGCCTGTAATCCCAGCTACTCAGGAGGCTGAGGCAGGAGAATCAGTTGAACTTGGAAGGCAGAGGTTGCAGTGAGCCGAGATCGCGCCACTGCACTCCAGCCTGGGTGACAGAGCAAGACTCTGTCTCAAAAAAAAAAAAAAAAAAAAAATATATATATATATATATATATAAGCTGGGTGTGGTGGCACGCACCTGTAATCCCAGCTATTTGAGAGGCTGAGGCAGGAGAATCACTTGAACTCGGGAGGTGGAGGCTGCAGTGAGCTGAGATTGTGCCACTTTACTCCAGCCTAGGTGACAGAGGAAGACTCTGTCTCAAAAAAAACAAACAATAACAACAAAAAGAAACCCACAGTAATAAAATTGAAATAGAAGGAGGTTTGCAATCAAAATGACTGACTAGGAATGAAATAGGAAACATAATATGTTGCATCTGCATAGGGAAGTCTGAGATTGGCTGATATTGTTCTCTTCTGTAGGGGAAATACTAGTCCAGAACTTGGGGTGCCTGCCAAGAGGGGAGCAGCCACAGTAGGGAGGGGGGATTCTGGAATGCTAGGGTTCTGGAGTCTGTGGACACAGGAGGCAGAGGACATGTGTTAAGATGTTTTAAGAAATGAATGTTGATCTGGATATGAAAATATTTTTCAGCCGGGCGCAGTGGCTCACGTCTGTAATCCCAGCACTTTGGGAGGCTTAGGCGGGCGGATCACAAGGTCAGGAGATCAAGACCATCATGGCTAACACAGTGAAACCTCATCTCTACTAAAAATACAAAAAGTTAGCTGGGCGTGGTGGCGGAGGCCTGTAATCCCAGTTGCTCAGGAGGCTGAGGCAGGAGAATGGCGTGAACCCGGGACGGAGCTTGCATGAGCCAAGATTGCGCCTCTGCACTCTAGCCTGGGCGACAGAGGGAGACTCCATCTAAAAAAAAAAAAAAAAAAAAAGAAAGAAAATATTTTTCACTATAGAGAGGCATATGTCCCCTGAGCTTGCCGGGATCTATCTTTCCTTGCTGATGCATTCTGTGAGTTAGAAGAAAACTTCCAAAGAGCCATTTTTTCCACCCTGTCTACTGTATAAAATTGCTTCTCAAACATGTGCTGCATTGCAGAGGATTACCATTGTTTTGCTAACCAGCGTCTGGTCTTTCTTATGTGGCGCTGCAATTACTAGTGTCAAACCCTGTTGGTAATACCCAGAGGACAGTGTCTGAAGTCCTTATTCAGTATTCACATTTGGCCGGGTGTGGTGGCTCACACCTGTAATCCCAGCACTTTGGGAAGCAGAGGCAGGTGGATCACTTGAGGTCAGGAGTTCAAGACCAGCCTGGCCAACATGGTGAAACCCCATCTCTACTAAAAATACAAAAATTAGCCGGGCGTGGTGTCAGGTGCCTGTAATCTCAGCTACTTGGGAGGCTGAGACAGGAGAATCACTTGAACCCAGGAGGCGGAGGTTGCAGTGAGCCAAGATTGTGCCACTGTACTCCAGCCTGGGGGAAAGAGCGACTCTGTCTCAAAAAAAAAAAAAAAAAGAAAATTCACGTTTGTAGAGAGTTTAAATTCTTTTTTGATATGGAGTCTCACTCTGTTGCCCAGTCTGGAGTGCAGTGGCAGGGTCTTGGCTCACTGCAACCTCTGCCTCCCAGGCTCAAGCGATTCTCCTGCTTTAGCCTCCCGAGTAGCTGGGATTACAAGCACCCACCAAAACGCCTGGACAATTTTTGTATTTTTATTAGAGAAAGGGTCTCACCATGTTGTCCAGGCTGATCTGAAACTCCTGACCTCAGGTGATCTGCCTGCCTCGGCCTCCCAAAGTGCTGGGATTACAGGCATGAGCCACTATGCCCGGCCGAGAGTTTAAATTCTTAAGTCCTACGCTTCAATGTGTGGGAAGTATTCGTGCTATGCTTTTATAACTAAATCATCTCAGTATTTCTATTTCTAGCCCCTTTTTCTGCCTGATGGTAAAATAATTAATCTAGTCAATTCCAGGTAAACTTTGGCCTTTTATGATTTTTCCTGATCAGGCTAAACCTCAACCAAGTCCATTCTTGATCTTCTCCTTCACCTCCTTCTCTCATTCACCCCACAATTAGTCTCCAGTCCACGGGCTGATGCAGCATCTTGGTGTCCTGTGGTCTGAGGTCATTTTCTGTCTTTCTCAAGCCTCAGCTAAAGTTTACAATCCTACCTTTTCTCATGACCTTGAAATGCCCTAAGGTTCAGCGGCTTCATGGTTGCTGCTTCATGGGGGACCCTGGCTGTTCTCTGAGGCTGCTCAGCACCGCGAACATCCCATCAACTACCCGGGGCCCATCTCCGCCCGAGGCCTCAGCCATTCCTGGTCTACAGCTCTGCTGTCTGGTTGGCACAGGGAACTCCTTGGGGCCCCAGGGTTCCAGATTGGAAGCAGAGAATCTCCTCTCTTCTCAGACCCCCAAACTTTGCTGCGGATTCTAATTGTCCTTTCCCCAATCTCACTCCTTGGAACCCACTGGGAGGTGAGTAGAATCCCTCTCAGAGATTCTACCACCATCTCCCTCATTCTTACCCTAACCTTCTTCCTCTTCCTCCCTAGTTAGGAAAGAGGATCTTTAGCCTGCGGCGGGGGGCGGGGGGGGGGGGGTTGGGGGGGTGGGGATTCTTGATGTTTCAGGGGAAAAGGTGACTCATCTACTTTTGGAATATCTGTCATACCTGTCTACTGGTGCAGTGAGCCGGGATCACACCACTACACTCCAGCCTGGGTGACAGAGCAAGACTCCATCTCAAAAAAAAAAAAAAAAAAAAAAAGACTCTGGAGAAACAACTCAATACGCATGAGAAGAGGCTGGCCCATGTAGAGAAAGGACTGGCAAACTATGACAACTCTTTTCTGTTGTTTTGTTTTCAATCTTCTCTTCACAGTTCTTTTCACAGTTTGGAATTGATACCTTTTTCTCTTCATCAGAACTCCAATGTTTTTGTAGATTGAAGTCTTTTTTTTTTTTTTTTTTTCTTGAGAAAGGGTCTCACTCTGTCACCCAGGCTGGAGTGCAGTGGACCAATCACTGCTCACTGCAGCCTCGACTTCCTGGGCTCAAGAAATCCTTCCATCTCAGCCCCCCCCAGTAGCTGGGACTACAGGTGTGCACCACCATGCCCAGTTAATTTTTATTTTTTAATTTATTATTATTATTATTTTGAGATGGAGTCTTGCTCTGTTGCCCAGGCTGGAGTGCAGTGGCACCATCTCGGCTCACTGCAACCTCTGCCTCCTAGGTTCAAGAGATTCTCTTGCCTCAGCCTTCCGAATAAGTGGGACTACAGGTGCATGCCACCACACCTGGGTAATTTATTTATTTTTTTGTAGAAAAGGGGTATCAGTGCGCTGTCCAGGCTGGTCTCAAACTCCTAACCTCAAGCGATCCGCCTGCCTTGGCCTTTCAAACTACTGGGATTAGAGGTGATGAGCCACCATGACTGGCCTACATATAGCCCAAATGGATGAGCAGTTCCCAAGGCTCAGTCCCAGCCTCCACTATCCAAGTCAGCCTCTCATCTCCTTCATTTCCGAGGACTCAGTTCTCATTTTCCTCCCGTTTTCTCTGGATTGTGGCTATTGTTCTCTGGTTGCTAGATCAAGCTGGAGCACAGTAAAGCAGTGTCACAAAGCTGGAAGGGGTCTGGGATGAGTCCACCAGCTACAAGTTCTTATAGAAAATGTACTCCAGGAATGGCCAGGCGCAGTGGCTCATGACTGTAATCCCAGCACTTTGGGAGGCCAAGGCGGGCGGATCACCTGAGGTCAGGAGTTCAAGATCAGCCTGACCAACATGGAGAAACCCCGTCTCTAGTAAAAATACAAAATTAGCCAGGTGTGGTGGCACATGCCTATAATCCCAGCTACTCCTGAGGCAGAGGAATCGCTTGAACCTGGGAGGCGGAGGTTGTGGTGAGCCGAGATTATGCCATTGTACTCCAGCCTGGGCAACAAGAGCGAAACTCCCTCTCAAAAAAAAAGAAAAAGAAAATGTCCTCCAGGAATTGTCATTTCTGAAATTCAACTGCTTCTGGAATTGAAGCAAGCAGCTCATCTTGGAAGAGAAATATGTAGCCAACCCCAAAGCCAAAGCCTTTGAGGATTGAGACCTAGCATGCTAGGAGACCTTGATCCTGTAATCTCAGAAGAAGAGTCTGGATCTGGCCAAATTGAGGTCAAATTCTGGTCAACTTCTCCATAGTCAGTAGGAGAAAAAAACCAACTTGATGTTTGAGTCACATGTTTTGACAACTAAAGAGGACACTTATGCTGGGGTTGGTGGTTCATGCCTGTAATCCCAGCACTTTGGGTGGTTGAGGCGGGCGAATCATTTGAGGTCAGGGGTTCGAGACCAGCCTGGCCAACATGGTGAAACCCCGTCTCTACAAAAAATTCAAAAAAATTGGCTGGGCACAGTGGCTCATGCCTGTAATCCCGGCACTTTGGGAGGCTGAGGCGGGTGGATCACGAGGTCAGGAGTTCGAGACCAGCCTGGCCATTATGGTGAGACCCTGTGTCTACTAAAAATACAAAAATTATCCAGGCATGGTGGCGCGCACCTGTAGTCCCAGCTACTCAGGAGGCTGAGACGGAAGAATCTCTTCAACCTGGGAGGTGGAGGTTGCAGTGAGCTGAGATCACACCACTGCACTCCAGCCTGGGTGACAGAGTGAGATGCCATCTCAAAAAAAAAAAAAACAAAAATTCAAAAAAATTAGTCTGGCTTAGTGGCGGACGCCTGTAATCCCAGCTACTGGGAGGGTGAGGCAGGAGAATCACTTGAACCTGGGAGGTGGAGGTTGCAGTGAGCCGAGATCATGCTACTGCACTCCAGCCTGGGCAAGTGAGACTCCATCTCAAAAAAAAAAAAAAAAAAAAAAGGACACTTAAAGATGACATTAAAGAGGATACTTAGATTCTAGACAAAATCAAGATATAGCAAATTGGGGTGGGACACACCCGTAATCCCAGCATTTGGGGAGGCCGAGGCAGGTGGATCACCTGAGGTCCAAAGTTTGAGACCAGCCTGGCCAACATGGCAAAACCCCGTCTCTACTAAAAATACAAAAATTAGCCAGGTGTGGTGGTGGACACCTGTAGTCCCAGCTACTCAGGAGGCTGAGGCAGGAGAATCATTTGCGCCCAGGAGGTGGAGGTTGCAGTGAGCTGAGACTGCACCGCTGCACTGGTTCCTGGGCCACACCAGTCACTATGCCTGGGTGACAGAGCAAGACTCTGTCTCAAAATAAATAAATAAATAAAATTTTGTTTTGCTGTGTTGCGGCTAATATGCGTGCTATAAGACAATGGTTTCTTGAGTCTCATTCTCTCTGCATATGCCTAAAGCTTTTTTATTTTTATGATTCTAAGAGATTGTACCTTCTCATCTCCTAGATTCTGTCCCATAGGTTCTGATCTTTTCCTAGGGTAACTTGGATGGTTAAAAATGTGGAAAAAGCTTTGGGTATTAGGTGCTGAACCCACTCACCTCTGCTTAGACCCCTTCTTTAATGCCCAAGGTTGTCCAATCCTAGCCCTTCCCCCTACCCTCAGCTTTCTCCTCACCTACACAACAACCTTAGCATAGTCCTAAGGTATGTGTTCTTATCTTCTGTTATCTATGCCAAGGATGTTTGCTGGTTTTGGTTTGTTTTGTTTTGTTGAGACAGGGTCTTGCTCTGTCTCTTAGGCTGGAGTGCAGTGGCACAATCACAGCTCACTGCAACCTCGATCTCCTGGGCTTAAGTGATCCTCCCACCTCAGCCTCCTGAGTAGCTGGGACTACAGGTATGCATCACCACGCCTGGCTAATTTTTTTTTTTTTTTTTTTTGAGGCAGAGTTTTGCTCTTGTTGCCCAGGCTGGGGTACAATGGCATCATCTCAGCTCACAACAACCTCTGCCTCGCGGGTTCAAGCAATTCTCCTGCCTCAGCCTCTCAAGTAGCTGGGATTACAGGCATGTGCCACCACGTCCGGCTACTTTTTTGTATTTTTAGTAGAGATGGGGTTTCTGCATGTTGGTCAGGCTGGTCTTGAACTCCTGACCTCAGGTGATCCGCCCACCTCGGGCTCCTAAAGTGCTGGGATTACAGGCTTGAGCCACCACGCCCGGCCCACGCCTGGCTAATTTTTTTTAATTTTTATTTTTGTAGAGACAGGGTCTCACTATGTTGTCCAGGCTGGTCTTGAACTCCTGGACTCAAGCGATCTTCCTGTCTCAGCCTCCCAAAGTGCAGGAATTACAGGCATGAGCCACTGTGTCAGGCAAGGATTTTTTTTTTTAAGTTAAATTTCTGCCTGCCAGCACAGCAGCCCCTTTTCCTGCTTTCTCTCTCTCTCTGTGCTTTAAGATGATAGTCCCTTCTTTTTTTTCAAATAACCACAACAGGAAGGACTGACCACTCTTGTAAGCTGCAACTGATGTTTTCAGACTCCTAAAGTGACATCTAGACATAAGTCCATATATGTCAGAATATCATGCAGGGAATGCTCAAATAGTTGGGAAGAGATTGCTGCACTGTGTTTTGCATGCCCAAAGCCCACATAGGTACTCAGTTTAAAAATCTTAATAGAATTGAATCCTGCTCTTATCGTAGGAAAGGAAGAGAATCTGATAGAGAGAAACAGAAAACGAAAAGGTCAAGAACTGGCCGGGCACGGTGGCTCTCGCCTGTAATCCCAGCACTTTGGGAGGCTGAGGCAGGAGGATCATGAGGTCAGGAGTTCGAGACCAGCCTGGCCAATATGGTGAAACCCCGTCTCTACTAAAAATACAAAAAAATAGCTGGGTGTGGTGGCGCGCACCTGTAGTCCCAGCTATTCGGGAGGCTGAGGCAGGAGAATCGCTTGAACCAGGGAGGCGGAGGTTGCAGTGAGCCAAGATCATGCCACTGCACACCAGCCTGGGCAACAGAGCAAGACTCCATCTCTAAAAAAAAAAAAAAAATTCGAGAACTGGAAAGGAACTAAGCACATGAAAAGAAATTTTATGTTCCTTCATGTTTTTATTTAAAGAAACTGAATCAAGTACCAAACATGGAATAAAGGCAAACATTCATTTTTGGGGTGATTGTTCCCTTCTTGGCAATCCCTGTTTTATTGAGGGTATCACTAGTTATTCATTCCAAGGATTTTTTTTTTTTCCACAGGAGGTGGGCGTTTCTTTGTCTTCTTAGAGTCAGGATTCCAGATCTGCTGATGTGTGGGACTTTTCTTGGCCACTACGATTTCATCTACAGTCACGAGCTGTAGCACCACCTCAGCCACTGCTCGAAATCCTTGGGCTTTGACTATTAGGGTGTCCCACACCCCTTCCTGGGCCACATTTATTATCCCTTCAGCTCCCACACCCATTAGGAGGTTCCCACCTTGGTGCACTCCACTCATTTCTGCAACCACGTCTGAGACAGCTAAGCCTGCATTCTCTGCCAAGGTTTTAGGAAGATACTTCAGGGCCCGGGCAAATGCTAGGAATGCAGGCCCATTGGGCCCTTCCAATCTGCTTCCTTTATCAGAGAGCATTTTTGCCAAAGCCATTTCTGTGGCCCCAGCTCCTGGGATCAGTCTGGGATCTTGACATGGCTGGAAATAGGCATCAATGCTGTGGTAGACGGCCTGCTCTGCACTCCGCAGCCCCTGGGTGGTGGCTCCCCTGAGAACCACGGTGAGGGCAGGTGTGCCTGTACATTCCCATTCAAATACCACAGCCAAACCATCTCCCAGCTCCTGCCTGTAAACCCTCTGGCACTTGCCTGGCCTCTGGGGAGGGAGCAGACGAGGCAGCAGCGGTGTGTCCAACACCTCACTCAGGTAAATGATCTCCATCCGAGACCTAGCCTGAATCACCACGATGCCATACTTGTCCGCCAGTGTGAGGGTCTCCTCGTCGACCTCCCCCAACACCACTGCCACATTAATTCCCGCGGCTGCCAGCTGGCCTACTTGCTTTTCTAGTAATTGGTCACTTCCTTTACTAAATTGAGCTAGATCAGCAGGACTAGAAAGACAGGCCGTTGCTGGTGCATTTGGATGGGCAGGACCAAAGGGGCAAGCAAAGAGAGCCACCCTGGCACCACTTAACACTGCGGCCATTTGCCCACAGAGCTTCCCAGATATTGCTAACCCCTGGAGGAGGCAGGAATCCTCCAGTGTCCCCCCGTGCAGCGTGCACACCCCAACACGCTCAGGCTTGAAGCTGCCGTCTAGCTCCTTGATAGCCCAGCAGGCGTGGGCCACCAGCTTGGTCAAGTGGTTCATGGGGGGCAGGGTGTGGGTATTCATCACAGAATGGAGGGCCCAGGACGGATCTTCCAAAGGCCCCAGAGATTGGATGGCCAGGGAGGGCAGTGTGGCCAGGACCTCTGCAGTGGCTGTGGCGTAGGCCTCCCGGAGCTGCGGGCGAGGCAGGCCGAACTTCAGCAGCTGCTCTGCCTGTTCCAGCAAGGCTTCCGTCAGCAGAACCACGAAGGCTGTGCCATCCCCACTATTCTCTGCTTGGGTTTGGGCTGCTTCCCGGAGGAGCCATGCCGCTGGGTGCTCCAGCTCCAGGGCCCTGAGGATGGCAGTGGCACACCCCGTGCACACTGTTTCTCCTTTCATGGTCACCAGGAACTTCTGCCGGCCATGGGGGCCATAGCAAGGCCGGATGACATTGGCCAGGGTCTGGACTGCAGCCAAGCTGCTCAGCAGGTGGGGCTCCTCCTCTTCCGGACTCCTTGGGCTCTCCCTTGGGTTCAGTGCCAGCCGCTGGGGCAGCTCCAGGGCTGAAGGGACTGTGCTGTCCATGGCCCGCAGAAAGAGGAGAGGCCACCGTGGGTTGCAGAGATGCTCTAGAAACAGCAGCAGGGGCACCCTTGACACCGATCGTTGAAAGTACTCAAGAGGTCAGTGGAAGCAAGGAGCCAAATGCCCATTGATTGGTATCTGAAGATGTTAGCACAGACCAGCGCTCCACTGTGGGTCCAAGGATGAGCTCCAAAGAGCCCAGTCCTAAAGCCACCCCAGGGTTGATTCTGTAAAGGAACTGGGTCTTGGGGCCTCTCAACCTTGGTGGCTGAAATGGGATCTTTAACTGATGAAGTCACAAAGTGGAAAATGGAACCAGGATAGAGAATGAGGTCGCAGAAGTCTGGTTAGAACTGAGGAGGCCCTACCAGCAGGCAAAAGTCAGGCCTTGTCCAGCAATGGAGGTACATGCACCTCTGCACCAGGTCTGAGACTTGTTTAAACGTTAGATACAATAAGGAGGAGATCAAGTGAAAAACTACCCACTTCACCCTGTCTGGAGTGCAGGGGCATGACCATGGTTCACTGCAGGCCCAACTCCCTGGTCTCAAGCAGTCTTCCTGTTCAGCCTCCCAAGTACCTGGGACTATAGGCGCACACCACCACACCTAGCTAGTTTTTTTATTTTTTATAGAGACAGGGTTTCTGTATGTTGTCCAGGCAGGTCTCAAATTCCTAGCCTCAAGAGAGCCTTCCACCTTGGCCTCCCGAAGTGCTAGGACTACAGGTGTGAGCCACCACCACACCCACGCTTTTTTTTTTTTTTTTTTTTTTTTGAGACAGAGTTGCACTCTGTTGCCCAGGCTGGAGTGCAGTGGTACAATCTTAGCTCACTGCAACCTCCGCCTCCCAGGTTGAAGCAATTCTCCTGCCTCAGCCTCCCAGTAGCTGGGATTACAGGTGCCAGCCACCATGCCCGGCTAATTTTTTGTATTTTTAGTAGAGATGGGGGGTTTCACCATGTTGGCCATAGTTGGCCAGGCCGGTCTCGAACTCCTGGCCTCAAGTGATCTGCCCACCTCGGCCTCCAAAAATGCTGGGATTACAGGTGTGAGCCACTATACCTGGCCTTTTTTTTTTTTTTGAGAAGGAACTGAGAGACGATGTCTGTGTTTTGTTTTGTTTTGGTGTTACTTTCTCTTGCAGTACTGTGTAATATTAGCCATGTTTTGCTATCTGTCTGCCTTTGCCTTTTTGGGTATCTTATCAGTTTGTGCTTGTGTATCAGGTTTCTTAGGGTGTCTGTTGGTCTTTCAGGGTGCAGGTGTGGGAGGCTGCACAGCGTGCATGCCTGTGCCACGACTCCCAACTCTGCCTCCCTGGCAGAGGCAGGGCAAGACAAGCGGGGAAGGATGCTGACAGCTCACAGACAAATAGAAGTGAACCCAGAGGGGTGAAAAGCAACCAGCCTCCCAGCGGTCAGGGAGGTAGAAGCCTAAATGGGGCCCTGAGGTTTAAATGCGAATCGCCTTCCCATCCTAACCTTCAATGCTTACAATTTAAGTCTCTTTTTTTCATTCTCTCTCCTTTCCTCACTCGTCTCCTCTTTCTTCCTATAGAGCCTACTCGGGTAATGATGCTTCTGCTTTAGTTTAACACATATTTAGTCTGGGTGTGGTGGCTCATGCGTGTAATCCCTGCACTTTGGGAGGCTGAGGCGGGAGGACTGCTTAAGCTCAGGAGGTTGAGGCTTCAGTGAGCCATGATTGCACCACTGCATTCTAGCCGGGGCAACAGAGTGAGACTTGTCTCAAAAAAAAAAGGGGAAAGGTCATTTGGAATCCTAGTTCAGAGATAACCGTTGTTTACAACTTGATGAACATTACTACTTTGCACATATTGTATGCATACATAATTATAGATTTACACCATGTTACATAAGATTATGATACATATATGCTATTCTGTAATCATTTCCTTCTCAACATTATCTTGGCTCAGAGAAATGTTTCTTTTTTTGTTTGGACATGGAGTTTCGGAGTTTCGCTCTTGTCACCCAGGCTGGAGTACAATGGGGCGATCTTGGCTCACCCTCGGCTCACCGCAGCCTCTGCCTCAAGCAATTCTCTTGCTTCAGCCTCCTGAGTAGCTGGGACGGAGTAGCCATGTGCCACCATGCCCGGCTAATTTTGTATTTTTAGTAGAGACAGGGTTTCTCCATGTTAGTCGGGCTGGTCTCAAACTCCCGACCTCAGGGGATCCACCCGCCTCGGCCTCCCAAAAGTGCTGGGATTACAGGTGTGTGCCACTGTGCCTGGTCTGTGAGCCATCGTGCCCGGCCTGAGAAATGTTTCTTTTTCTTTTTTTTTTTTTTTTTTTTAGCAGAAACTCATTTATTTATTAACCAAAGGGATGATCCTAATGAATCCAACACACTTTGAAATAGCTGCATGTAAAATGTTTGTGATAAAGATAATTGAACACAGTAATGAAAAAAAAAAGAAAGAAACAGTATGGAGATTTGTTCATTGAACTGAGCTTGGTCATTCTCTTGGTTAACTCCTGTCCAAAGTGATGATGGAATCTTTATTGTGCTTTTTCATAGATCCGAGTACAGGCGACATGGTTCATGACACGCTCCACCACTAATTTCCCATCTTTCAGTTTTCTTGTTATTGTGCTTTCCTTCCCATCCCACTCCTGATGCTGAACCAATGCACCATCTGTAAAGTTGCAAACAGTCTGAGTTCTTCTGCCATCAGCTGTGTTTTCTTCAAACTTCTCTCCCAGGGTACCAGAAAACTGTGTTGTTTTCAAAGTGCTCTCAGTTTTTATGGTGAGGTTTTTGCTATCACAAGTGATGATACAATCTGGCTTGGCCATTGCGCCCATTTTTCACAAAGCTATTCCCACTCCTAGCTCCTTCATGTATTCATCAAAGCCTTTGTTGTCCACCAGGCGCCATCTTCCTTCTAGCTGCTGAACTGTGGCCATGGTGGGTGCAGGGGGGCTGGCGTGCAGAGTGGGGTCTGCGTCGGCATGGCAGCGTGCTGTCGAGAAATGTTTCTAAGTAGATCTTATTTGGTCTGAGAACCATGAATGATTATTTTGAGCAGTTTTGATTCTGGAGACTCCATTTGGTTCAGGCATGGTCCTCCAAATTCAGGCTTCTGAAAGCCTGTACCTCAGAGTAGGCTTGATGTTCCATAAAAGATGTGGTTATGAGTGCAAAGATGACTTGCCTGTATTGTTATACAAATGTAAAATGTAACAATCAACAAAAATGTAGCAAAGTATGCATGTATACATTTTCTCTAAAGATACAGTTTCTTTTTTTAAAAAAATAAACACATTAGGCAGGTGTGATGGTGGGTGCCTGTTATCCCAGCTACTCGGGAGGCTAAGGCACGAGAATCTCTTGAACCTGGGAGGTGGACATTGCAGTGAGCCGAGATTGCACCACTATACTCCAGCCTGGGCAACAGAGCGAGACTCAGTCTAAAAAAAAAAATAAATAAATAATATAAATAAATAAATAAATAAATAAAATAAACACGACTGGCCAGTGGCGGTGGCTTAAGCCTATAATCCCAGCACTTTGGGAGGCCTCAGCCAGGTGGAGTTCAGGCATTCAAGACTAGCTTGGGCAATATGACAAGACCCCTGTCTCTACTAAAAATACAAAACAATAGCCGGCCGTGGTGATGTGTGCCTGTAGTCAGCTACTTGGAAGGCTGAGGTGGGAGGATTGCTTGAGCCCTGAAGGTGGAAGTTGCAGTGAGCTGAGATTGTGCCATTGCACTCCAGCCTGGGTGACAGAGTGAGACCCTGTCTCAAAAAATAAAATAAAATAAAATAAACACTCCTATAAAGGATCCTCTTAGCTCTTTTTCTAACACCTAACCTATATTTTCATATTCATTTCAGTTACCCTACAACTGTTCACTGAGCTGCTGTTGAATAGGGGAAATAAGGCAGATAACTACTGCCATCTCCGCTGGGTTTAGGGACAATATAGACATTAATCTGGGCACTTTCATTACAGGCAATGAGAGCTGTGAGTGGGGAAAGCACAAGGTTGGCAGAAGCATTTAGGGGGACACAGCCATTCTCACGGAGGGCAGAGGTCTAAAGCAAGAGCCGAAGAAAAAGTAGGAACTGGCCTCGTGGAAAGGGGAAGGGCGATGGGACAGCCTGGTGGTTTGTAGCCCACTGGAAGGAGTTCTGAAAACTGGTGGTCAGGTGAGAAGGAAAGCTGGGGAAGAGATGAGCACGTTCGCCAGAGGGTAGCAGGGGCTCTCCAGGACCTAGTGAGTCAAGCCAAGGAATTTAGGCTTCAGCCTGCAGGGTGATGAATAGGGCTGTCTATTCCATTTCTTCCTTCTTTCTTTCTTTCTTTTCTTTCTTTTTTTGAGACAGCATCTCACTCTGTCGCCCAGGCTGGAGTGCAGTGGCACGATCCTGGCTCACTGCAACCTCCGCCTCCCTGATTCAAGCAATTCTCCTGCTTCAGCCTCCAGAATAGCTGGGATTACGGGTGCCTGCCACCACGCCTGGCTAATTTTGTATTTTTAGTAGAGGCGAGGTTTCACCATGTTGGTCAGGCTGGTCTCGAACTCCTGACCTCAAGTGATCTGCCTACCCTGGCCTCCCAAAGTGCTGGGATTACAGATGTAAACCACCATGCCTGGCCTGAAAATTTCTAGTTTATGATACTTGCCAGCAGAATGTGTTCTGTCACCCTCTTCTGAATAGATATGGTTGTCTGCTATGACTTCTCCCACTGCTGCCCTTCCCCCTGAATCCACAGATGCATTTCTTTTAAAACTATGATCTTGTACACAATGGACGTAAATATTTAATCTTTCTATTTGTATGTTTTTCCATGTTTCTTTTCTTTCTCTTTTTTTTTGGGGGGGGGTGGTGTCTGCCTCTATTGCCCAGGCTGGAGTGCACTGGAACAATCTCAGCTCACTGCACCCTCCGCCTCCTAGGTTCAAGGGATTCTGCTGCCTGAGCCTCCTGAGTAGCTGGGACTACAGGTGTGCACCACCACGCCTAGCTAGTTTTTATATTTTTAACAGAGACAGGGTTTCACCATATTGGCCAGGCTGGTCTCGAACTCCTGACCTCGTGATCCTCCCACCGCGGCCTCCCAAAGTGCTGAGATTACAGGCGTGAGCCACCATGCCCGGCCTCCATGTTTATTTTCTAGTTGCTTACTTGTCCTTTTGTGTTTATCCTTGTTAACTACTACTGCCAGGCTTAAAGTATAGACCCCTAGAGGGCAAGATTAGTATCTATATAAAATGTACTGCAAAACATCTACTTAAGCCTCACATTCTTAAACACAAATTACTTTTGAAGATGACTGTTCTGCTTGTTTCCTTCCTGGTTTCTTCCTTTAACTTTTCCACCAAACAGGCACATGATATACTTTACTGAAATAACTTATATAGCAATATGAATTTTTTTTTTTTTGAGGCAGAGTTTCGCTCTTGTTGCCCAGGCTAGAGTGCAATGGCGCGATCTCGGCTCACTGCAACCTCCGCCTCCTGGGTTCAAACAATTCTCCTGTCTCAGCCTCCAGAATAGCGGGGATTACAGGCGCACGTCACCATGCCAGGCTAATTTTTGTATTTTTAGTAGAGATGGGGATTCACCATGTTGGCCAGGCTGGTCTCGAACTCCTGACCTCAAGTGATCTGCCTGCCTTGGCCTCCCAAAGTGCTGGGACTACAGGCATGAGCCACCGTGCCCGGCAAATTTGAGGTGGAGGTTGCTGTGAGCCGAGATCGCATCACTGCACTCTAGCCTAGGTGACAGAGCAAGACTGTCTCCCACTTCGGCCTCCCAAGTAGCTGGGACTACAAGCATGTGCCACCAGGCCTGGTTAATTTTTTTTTCTTTTTTTTTTTTTTGAGACGGAGTCTCACTCCGTCACCCAGGCTGGAGTGCAGTGGCGCGATCTCAGCTCACTGCAAGCTCCGTCTCCCGGGTACACGCCATTCTCCTGCCTCAGCCTCCCGAGTAGCTGGGACTACAGGTGCCTGCCAGCACGCCCGGCTAATTTTTTGCTTTTTTAGTAGAGACAGGGTTTCACCTTGTTAGCCAGAATGGTCTCGATCTCCTGACCTCATGATCCGCCTGCCTTGGCCTCCCAAAGTGCTGGGATTACAGGTGTGAGCCACCGCGCCCAGCCAGGCCTGGTTAATTTTCTTTGGTATTTTTTTGTAGAGACGGAGGTCTCACTATGTTGCCCAGGCTGGTCTCGAACTCCTGAGCTCAAGTGATCCACCCGCCTTGGCCTTCCAAAGTGCTAGGATTACAGGCATGAGCCACAGTGCCCAGCCTACAGTGCAACTTTAATAATAACAATATGAACACAAAAATTCTAAGATCTAAAATTTAAGCTTTCAGTGGTCCTTCTATAACAGTGAAAGTTTGGTTCCTAAAAAGCCCTGAGGAATTTATGGGAAAACAAGAGAGACAACATTTAGTAGTGAACCTGTGCATTCTAAATAAAGACAATCACATGTTATAGGCCTTCAATTAGTAAGAATGAATATTGGACTATGAATTTTTATTCACTGTCACTTGTTTGCTAGATGCTTTGAGAATCTTCCTTGCCTATATTTTTCTGAGATGTTGGTTTTTCTTTGTCAAAGATAACAATGCTCATTCCCTCCCCATTAAAAACTACATATATATATATATATATATGATTAGATGATTACTACATGTGCTTTGAAATATTCAAATATTTTAGACAGTAAAAGTCCCTTGTAATTCACCCCTTTGCAGATGATTGGTTAACAGGTTAGTACACATCTACCTAAATTTAAAATCCCATATTTAACATGTATACTTATTAGAAAGTACACATTCTAATATTTTTCTGTTGTATTTGGTACTGTTTCCAGATGCTCCTGCCTTTTTGCTTTCATAATTTTGAAGGACCTCAGCTCCCTGCCTCCTAGATTTTTGCTACTGTGGTCTCAGAGCTGTGTAATTTGGATGACTGAGACGGAAAAACCTCTGGAAAACCTTTATTTATGTTGAATAAGTATTCCTTGAATCCTTCCTCAGCATCCTGGGTTATATTTGATTTGCTCTGTTCATGATAACTTCATGCCAAGGAGACTGCTATCAGCTCTCTTAAAACAGATCCCAACTCCCTGCTCATAGTGGCCAAAGGAATGGAGATTTCAGGCTGAGTTTACTTACCTGCATCATCATCTATCCAGAAGCATCCCTGCACAAACCTCTGTTTCTACCCTTCCATTCACTCGGCTCACTTTTCTGCTCTTAGTACCCTTTGTTTCTTGTGAACTCTCCAGCAGGAGTGACTTGCAATTTGTATCCACTGACACTTAAGTTCTCAGAAGTGCTGGAGAAGCGTATGGAAGTAAATTATCCTGATGTATAATTTTGTACATGTGAAACTCACCGTGGAAGTGCCTATTCTAATTTCAGTACGGAACACAGCTAAATATTTGGATCAATAATCCAGTTTTGAAAGCACACTTTATTTAAAGTACAATGTGCTGAAGAAAATGAAAAAAGAAAGGGTGCTTTCAAATTTGTACTGAGTAAACTTTCACTAGATCACATCATATGTTTATCACTAGTCACATATATGTTGTATTTCTATGTGTAATCGTCAGGCACTTTTAATTTCTAGTTTGCATTTACCATGCCAGCCTCCTCCTCAATCCCAAATTTCCTTTGGTTATAAATTTAGTAAATTTGAAAGAGCCAGCAGGGATTAAACCCTGAAGGTATTCAAATGACTATCTGACGTTATTCCTCATTTCAGCCATTTCAAAAAATTATGCTTTCATTTAGAATAGGCTCTGGGAATCAAAGTGTGTGTATTTTGCCCAAGTAGAAGACACAGTTTAAAGTTAACATCCTAGCTACTAGAAGGGAAAGCAAACATCGCTGGAAAAGGAGCCTATTTTTTTTTACCTTACACTAAAACTACACTGCGAAGATCAAAAGAAATCAACATGAGAGTGTGCCTCTTAACGCTAGGCCCAAAGTAGATGCTTATTAAATGATAGTTTACCCCAATCCTTCACAAATGGTTGATAGGTCTTACTATTTCCCCCCATTCAAATCTAGAATTTTTTCACTCTCATAAACTAATCGATAGTGAATGGAAAGCACAGAATAGATCATCGTCCAAGTGTTAGGTATTAGCCTGAGAAATCCAGAATCCCATATTTGTAACTGTCCTTCTTGAGAAAGTGCATTTTTCAGGCGGATTCTAGCCCCATTTTTCTTTTTACCATTTTTACATATTATGAGAGGTGGCTTAGAAGTACTTCGATTTTTGCCTCTTCATCACAACACACTGAACGTTAAAATCAAGTGGTTGGGTTTTTATTGGCTTATTTTGTCTCTAACCGTTTTATTTCTCGAGCTGTCATCGTTCTTTTCGTCTTACATCCTTATGAACCTTTTCTGGATTAAAAAAAATGACGTTATAATAAGGAAACTAACTGGCGTTGGATTCGAACGAAGTTGACTCCATTCCTTTTCCTCCCCGTAGTGTGGGCGCTACGAGGAAAGACCTCGGCGAGAACCAGCGAAGCCCGGGCTGCCCTCGCCGTGCGGGCGCACATTTGCTCCTCGCGCCGGGCTGCGCCGGGCGACCGCGGCCGCCTCGGCGTGTGTCCGCGGCTCCCTCCCGCCCTCGCCCGCAGTTCCCCGATCCCGATCCCGGATCTCTGGGTCCACAGCTTGGCTACCTCCCGAGCCGGAGCCGGAGCCGGAGCCGGAGTCGCGGCTGGGCCCGGCCGCCGCGTCACAGGGGGAGGGAACCCGGGGGGGAGGGGGAGGGGCGGTGAGGTCAGCGGCGGCGGCGCGTCCGCGGGCGGCGGGAGCGGCGCATGCGCGGAGCGAGGCCCGTGAGTGGCAGCGGCGGCGCGCGGGGGGCGGGCGAGGGGCCGAGTGTGGGGGAGCGGGCGGGGGCCGTCGAGGCGGCGGTGTGTGGGCGCGACGGCTGCGAGTTGGAGAGGTCTGTGGTGCGGGTCGCCCCGGGGGATCCCCGGCGCGGGCCTCGCGCGACGGCCACGGTCGCGCGGCGTGTGTGTGGGGTCCAAGCACACCCGCAAAACTTCCTCCTCCCCTGCTCCGGGAGAGCGAGCGAGCGTGTGTGAGAGAGCGAGTGTGAGGAGCGAGCCGCGGCCCGGCGCCCAGCGCCGCCACTGGAGCAGCTGTCAAAACTTCGCCGCCGCCGCCGCCCGGGCCTGACGGGCCTGACGCGCGGGGGAGGGGCGGCCGGCCGGGGGCGCGACCCCCTCGCCGCCCCCGCCGGGCCCCGCGGCCGGCCCTCCCCGCGCCGGGCCCCTTTCTCCTCCTGCCGCGGGCGGCTCGGGGGAGGGGCCGCGGGCGGAGACCCCGGGGGCCGGCGCCCCTCACGCCGCCCGCCCGCCCGGCTGCCCCGCCCGCCCGCACCCGCCGGCCCCGCCCGCCCCGCACCGCCCGCCCCGCCCGCCGCCCCCCGCCCGGCCCCTGCGCGCGGAGGTGCGCGCGCCCGCGCCGATGTGTGTGAGTGCGTGTCCTGCTCGCTCCATGTTGCCGCCTCTCCCGGTACCTGCTGCTGCTCCCGGGGCTGCGGGAAATGCGAGAGGCTGAGCCGGGGAGGAGGAACCCGAGCAGCAGCGGCGGCGGCGGCGGCCGCGGCGGCGGGAGCCCCCCAGGAGGAGGACCGGGATCCATGTGTCTTTCCTGGTGACTAGGATGTCGTCGGAGGAGGACAAGAGCGTGGAGCAGCCGCAGCCGCCGCCACCACCCCCCGAGGAGCCTGGAGCCCCGGCCCCGAGCCCCGCAGCCGCAGACAAAAGACCTCGGGGCCGGCCTCGCAAAGATGGCGCTTCCCCTTTCCAGAGAGCCAGAAAGAAGTAAGTTGAGTGCGAGGGAGCCAGGCCGGGAGCCAGCGGCGGCGCCGGGCCGGAGCTGTCACCGGGCGCCCGCCCCGCGGCCTCCGCGCCCCGGCGCCCCCCGGCGGGGTGGGGGCGGGGCGGGCCCGCGGGCGGTGGCGGCTCCCGGCCCCGGCCCCGCGCCCCTCGGTAGCCGCCCGCGCCCGGCCTCCCCCGCTCCGCGCCGCCCGCCCGGGCTCCCGCCGGCGCCCGGCTCCGCACACTTTACTTTTCAGTCGGGCCTTTTCACTGGGTCTTCTCCGCGACTCTTCTTTTGGAGAAATTTCTCGTAGCCGCGTCTTGGCCTAGCTGGATCATTGAGAAAACAAGCCCGGAGCGCGCCCAGGTAGTCCCCGGACGGACTCCGGGCGAACCGCCGAGCCGTCGGCGCTCGGGAAACTCTCGGAGCTGTCAAAACGCCCGGGCCAGGTGGTCTCGGGGCGCGGGCTGGGGGCGAGAAGAAAGCGGCCGGGCGAGTGCAGCTTTTGTTTGTCAGCGACTTGCTCCTGGAACTTTTCCTGGTCCCAAACCTGTGTTTTCTTCTTTTGATGATATATTAGGAAGCCATTTGACTTCTTCCTCCCCCCTCCCCCAACACCCAGCACCGCACTCCCGGGCTCCGAAAGCACAAGTCCTGTGGGATCCCCCAGCTTCGGGGAACGGCCTGCCTAAGTTTTGGAGACGTAGCCAGCGTCCCCTCGTAAGGCAGAATACCAAGAGCACTTATTCGGAGAGAGTGCAGATGTAAATGTCGCTTCCCTCGTAAGTCTTAGCTGTAAGGGGCTTGGGAATAGGGTCGCCTGCCTTTGAGCGTACAGTAGGGCTGGACCCCAGCTTATTAGAGGACCAGAAATGTCTTCTTACAGAACGGTTATTTGACGGCTTTGCTTGTAAATTAAGACACCGTTTTAGTGCCAGCGAACTGCTCGGCTTCTGTGGCTCTCGCGTGTGCCGTGGAAGAACTGTGAATGTCTCTCGAAGTTGTAGAATGGCGTGTGTGCTTACTCATTTCGTGAGATGATATTCTCATTGAACTGTCGGGAGTGGAAGGGTGCGCTGGGACGTGAAGGAAGCCAGCACGTTTATGGATAGGCTGTTTCTTTGGTTCGGGTGCATTCACTTAGTAATAGTATTGTTGTTTGGTGATTTGTAGTAAAAATAGTAGCGTGAACTGAGGCATAGCAGAGCTGGGTTGTGGGAACCCATTGAGCTCTTGACTTGAATGTGCTCTTTTCTTGCCCCGCTGTCCTTTTACTATGAAAATGATTCAGGGCCTTCAACTTGCCTCCATATTTTATTGCCAGCTGTTACCTAGCTATGATAATCGTGAGGGAAGCAAGTACAGGATGTGTGTACATTATTACATTAGCTTGTTCGTGATACAAAGTTAGGACTTATTTATTATGCCACTTGCGTTGTAATACAGTGGCAAGTATAAAATGCCCTTATTCTGTATTAACTGAAATTTGTAGAAGGAAGTGGAGGTTTAAGTAATTTTTAGACATGTAAGCCACTTTTTTTTGCATCCTTTAAAGCAACTCAGGACAAGCCATATTGGGGTTTTACCTTGATTGCCTCCCATTTCACTATTTGCAAAGCATTTCTTCATCTCTTACTGAACATTAATTTGCAAGTATTGTTTTAAATTTGCATTTGAATTCTTACTCCAGAAAGATTAGATCTATGTTGTCACACCCCACACCCCATACTCCTGTAAGGGCGTGCTTGTGCACGCGCACACGCGCACACTCACACGCACGCGCACACTCGCACACACCCTACTTTTGAAATGAGCTCATTTGTATTAGTGCAGCTCCTGAGTGCACTGGACGATTAGGGTATTGCCACTTTATTATTTTAATTCTGAATCTCATGAAGAAATAGGCAGCCTTTGGAGAAGATAAAAAATTTCTGCTGAATAACAGTATAATCTAACTATGAAAAATCAAAACTTTTGGAAATATTTAGAACAAATGTAAGTCTGTAGAGAGCTTTTTCTTTTAGATTTGAAAACTAGTACTGCTTTCTTTATAGGAAATTAAAGTCTACTGGTAAATTTGACGGGTCTAAACTTTTTAGAGCGTTTTTTTTGAAATTGTGTCTTTTGAAGGGAATGGAATCTCCAGTTGTTTTTAGCAACATGTAAATGGAAACTAACATATGAATTGGAAAGCAAAGAGGTTTTTGAATTGTGTATCTCTATACTGTATAAGAATCCATGCAGAAAAGACCCTGTAGTTGGACAGTAAAGACCCTGAAAGTGAAACTTATGTGTAACCAGTGTAAATTAGGTTTGTAACCAGTGAAATTATGTGAAATTGCAAATAATTCACCTGAGAAATGAAAATTAATCTTCTTTGCTAAATCTCATAGAGATATTTTAAGTTGCTAATGTTACTTAGATGTTCATTAACTTAGTGAGTTACATTAAGTAGAGAAGATGCCTTTTTTTTTTTTTTCTGGACGAAGTCTTGCTCTGTAGCCCAGGCTGTAGTGCAGTGGTATGATCTCGGCTCACCGCAACCTCTGCCTCGTGTATTCAAGCGATTCTCCTTCCTCAGCCTCCAGAGTAGCTGGGATTACAGGTGTGCGCCATCGCACCTAGCTAATTTTTTGTATTTTTAGTAGACACAGGGTTTCACCATGTTGGCCAGGCTGGTCTTGAACCCCCGACCTCAGGTAATCCACTCTCCTCAGCCTCCCAAAGTGCCAGGATTACAGGCGTGAGCCACCGCACCCCGCTGAGAAGATGCCTTTTGACAATGAAGTGGATTTATGTATTTATCTTTGGCTTAAAAAAACATGCACCACCAATTACACTTTCCTCAAGTTTAAATTTTTAATAATTAGGTAAATAAAGCATTTTCTTGTCTTATAGTGTTAGCTAGATTGTTTTTGTGTATTTTGTCATGAATAAAAAGCATAGCTATATAGTTACTGCTTTTACATTAACTATAAATATCTTAAAATTTTACTACCTAAAATCAAGAAACTTGAACTGAAGCTATTAATCTTAGAGTTGGAAAAGTAAATACATAGAGGTTTCCTATTGTACAAATGTCAAGTGGCACAGTGAAATTTACATTCATTTGAAAGTTTTCCTTAACTGTAAAAAGTATCAAATTATTTGATAATTTGGAGTAGTTCATCATCTTTATCAGAGGCACAGGTCTTAACCATTGGCAGGCCTCTGTCAGAATATGCACATATTAAAGATCTCATTATTTTTGTGTTAATGTTAAAAAATTTTTCTGAAGCTTTTTTCTTATTTTTTCCATCCTTACACTGTAAATTCACATTACCAAGTTGGGAAGCCAAAGAAACATTCTACTCTACTATGTTTCTTACCAGTTCATGAAAGTTGATGTTAGAAATGGGTGTGGGTGTGGGGGATGGGGGTGGTTGTACAGAAGCAGCAGGTGGTAGGTATAGGATTTCTGAAGCACTATCCTTGGCCTTTTTTGAGTAAACTCTTTATACCCTGAACCACTTTCTTTTCAGAGGGCAATTGCTATTATTAGAGAGCCACCTTAAGCATTATTGTTGTAGAAAAATTAGGCACAACCAGTGATTGTCATTACAAGGACCAGCAAAAATGGCTAGGTTGCTACTCTGTATTTGTAACGCCCTTCCCCCAACAAAATTTCTCCTTTTCATAGCTGTGAATTTGAAATAAGTGATAGAAAACTGTACTGCATTACAATATATACCATTTAATAAAACAAGTTTATAGTTGAGAGACAGCACTATTATTCATGCTTTTTGAGATAATGCAAATTTGTAATTTTTATGACAGCAATTCTTAATAATTTATTGTCCAAGAGATCTGATAAAATTTTTGATATTATTGGTCTCTGGGACTCAATAGGCACTGAAATGTTTTAATTCAGTTGAAAAGTTGACTCAGGATTGCTACCCTCTCTTACCTGTTAGGAGGTTGTTGTTTAACCTGACCTGAAATTCCCATGAATAAGAACCTGTTTTTTTTCTTTTTTTTTTTTTTTGACAGAGTCTTGCTCTGCCGCCCAGGCTGGAGTGCAGTGGTGCGATCTTGGCTCGCTGCAACTTCCGCCTCCCAGGTTCAAGTGATTCTCCTGTCTCAGCCTCCCAAGTAGCTGGAGTAGCTGGGACTGCAGGCACGTACTACCATGCCTGACTAATTTTTGTATTTTTAGTAGAGACGGGGTTTCACCCTGTTAGCCAGGATGGTCTCAATCTCTTGACCTCATGATCTGCCTGCCTGGGCCTCCCAAAGTGCTGGGATTACAGACATGAAACACCGCACCTGGCCCAGGGAATTTCTAATATTTGAGAAGATGTTATTTTTAGTCTATTATACAAATTTATATATTGTTTACTAATATATAAATTTACATATTAGTTACTAATATGTAAACTTACCAATTTACATATTGGTTACTAATATGTAAACTTGATAAACATGGATTTCCATGGAAATATAAAAGTATCACAACAATTTGTTTTCCCATTCTGACACTTGTGATTTATTACATTTTCGTACTATTTCAGTTAATTCCATAATGCCAGAATTGTTGTTAATCTGCCAAGTGACAAGCCACACTGCTTCATCTCATTCCTCTGTTCCGCAAAACTGCAAAGTTTCCCAGACCACAGTCAGGTTTCTCTGGGTAGATAGTGGTTGTCCAACTCTGTAAACTTAAGTCACTTTAAGTTTATGATGGAGGGGCTTCGTGAAACTTCATTGACCTTCCAAGGTGAAAATTGGTCAGTTTCCAGTTATAAAGGACATTAAGGATGGGTGTGGTGGCTGATATATGTAATCCCAGCACTTTTGGGAGACTGAGTCAGGAGGATCACTTAATCCTCATTTAAAAGGAGTTTGAGACCAGCCTGGGCAACAAAGTGAGGCCTTGTCTCTACAAAAAAATTAGCTGGGTGTGGTGGTAGGCACCTGTAGTCCCAACTACTCTGGAGACTGAGCTGAGAGAAGATTGTGTGAGGCTTGGAGGTTGAGGCTGCAGTGAACGGACATCACACCACTACACTCTAGTCAGGTGACAGAGCAAGACTCTCTAAATAAATAGGAACATTAGATGGTCTCTCTGCACTCTTGCCTGGTGGGGACGTGTTAGATACCCTCGTTAGGTTGTGATTTAGTTTTTAATCTGTGAGATGTTTGGGCCAAACAACTTTTAGCTGCCATGGAATAAACTTTACAGTCAGCGTGTGAGTTTGTGTTTGCCTTTACTTTTTTTTTTCTATATTGTTTTGGTCCATTTTTATCTTTTAATTTCAGAAAGCTGATTAATCTCTTCCTTTTCTCTTTAAAAATTTTCTTTATCATGTTTGTGCTACAGTGGTTATTTTGAGAACTTGTTGGCAGGATAAGTGGCAAAAGTTACGAAGTAGAATAGAGATGATTTCTGTTTTTTTTTTTTTTTCTTTTTTTTGAGACAGTCTCACTCTCTTGCCTAGGCTGGAGTGCAGTGGCGTGATCCTGGCTCACTGTGGCTGCCGCCCTCCGGATTCAAGCGATTCGCCTGACTCAGCCTCCCAAAAAGCTGGGATTACAGGCGCATGCCACCACACCCAGCTAATTTTTGTGTTTTTAGTAGAGATGGGTGTTCACCATGTTGGCCAGGCTGGTCTCAGACTCCTGACCTCAGGTGATCTGCCTGCCTCGGCACTCCCAAAGTGCTGGGATTACAGACGTGAGCCACCACGCCCGGCTGAGATTATTTCTTTTTTTATTATAGCTATTGCTTGTAGATATATGCTGGTGGTTATCTGTGAAAATGTAATAGAAAGGCTGGGCACGGTGGCTCACACCTGTAATCCCAGCACTTTGGGAGGCTGAGGTGGGCGGATCACAAGGTCAGGAGTGGGAGACCAGCCTGGCCAATATGGTGAAACCCCGTCTCTACCAAAAATACAAAAATTAGCTGGGCGTGGTGGCAGGCACCTATAGTCCCAGTGACTCGGGAGGCTGAGGCAGGAGAATCGCTTGAACCCAGGAGGCAGAGGTTGCAGTGAGCTGAGATCATGCTATTGCACACCAGCCTGGGCGACAGAGTGAGACTCTGTCTCAAAAAGAAAAAAAAAAAAGTAATAGACCAATCTTGGATTTATAATTGGAAGTGTTGATCCCTTTATTTGCAGAATTTGAAGGACTTAAGAGCACAAGTTGAGAGAAACAAATGACACAGCTCTTTTTGCACTTTGTAATATTCTAGAAAAAGCCTCAGGTAAAAGGAAAATTGTTTCACTTTGTTTCTGCTGTTAATTTTGTGATGGCAGTAACTACATATGATCTACAAGTGTAAAATTGTTTAACAAGTCTTAAGTTTTCTATACTTCTATGTAACTTTTTAGATCTTTCATTTGGTACATGTTATTTAAAGAGCTACAAAGTGCTAAATATGTCCTGGGATGAACAGTCAACCCTGGAAGATTTATTGTGGCCTAGAGGGGTGCTCAAAGATTTGGAGGAAGTAGTATTTGAATTAGACCTTGAAGGATTGGTGGGATTTAGCCAAGTAGAATGACAAGAAAATGAGTGTGTGAGGGAGCAATGTGAATGAAATTATTGAGGGAAGGAGGTGTAAAAGGTGGGGTGGCTTCTGACTGTGTGACTAGAACAGAGGCTGTGTGTAGTGGTGAGGCCAAGCTGTGATAGTTCTTGAATGCCAGACTCATGAGTTTGGGCTTTATCCTGTAGTCCAGGAGTTATAAACTGTTTACAGGGAGCAGGTAAGCAATTTAAATGAACAGTAGGCTGCTTCTAAGAATCTGAATGACAACTGACACTTTAGACCTTGGGTTGGGGAGAAAATGGGAAATAATAACAGCCTTGGGGAAGTCTAGGAGTCCTTATGCCCTGCTTAAGGTGAAACTGATACAGAATTCTGGCTGATGGTTGCTATTTGAGATGCTGTTTCTAGATTTTTCAAGAGGGCGGAAATTTGGATTTTTATGATTTTTTTTTTTCTTTTTTGAGATGGAGTTTTACTCTTGTTGCCCAGGCTAGAGTGCAATGGTGTGATCTCGGCTCACTGCAACCTCTGCCTCCCGGGTACAAGTGATTCTCCTTCCTTAGCCTCCTGAGTAGCCAGGATTACAGGCACCCACCACCATGCCCGGCTAGTTTTTTTTTTTTTTTTTTTTTTTGTATTTTTAGTAGAGACGGGGTTTCACCATGTTGGCCAGGCTGGTCTCGAACTCCTGACCTCAGGTGATCCACCTGCCTCAGCCTCCCAAAATGATGGGATTACAGGCATGAGCCACCGCACCCAGCCCTTTTTATGATTTTTAAACTTGGATTTTAAGTGTTTTTCATTAATTAGAATCTAAAACGGTATTTGCGCCTATACTTTGTAGGCTAGGTTTAATCTGCGGACCACCAGGGGACTACAGGTCTCAATCTCTGCTTTATGCCCAGTTATTTTATTTTTTAAATGAAAGTTTTCAAAGCAGGTATTTACAGTATTCTTGAGGATAGGAACCTTACTAAATTACTTTGTATTCTGTTTAGCATTTATGCATTTGAATGTAGGCACTCAAATACTTGGTGATTTAATGATGCCTATTATTAAAAAAACACTGTGGTAATAATATGGAGACAGGAGTTACCTGGAGGCAGAGATAATAGGCTGTTACAATAGTTGTAGTGTGAGAGATCAAGCCAAAGCATAGAATGTTGGTAGTGCGAATGGGGAGGAAGATTCCAGTCACTGCAAAGGAGGAATTCGGCAGTTTCTGGCATAGATGTTGTAGCAGGCATCCAAATAGATTGGATGCCTGCTAAGCATTCGGGGAAGTAGGACTGGAGTTGAGGAATCGATTAGGATAAGTATTTAAAGATGTGACTTAACATGTAATCACTGAGAATATGGCGTATGGGAATTAGTAAAGGATTAGGATGCTTTGTTGCCCTTAGGAGATAGGGGACCAGTTATACCCGGAAAAACAAGAAAGGAAATCAGAATATATTCTCATGACAAATGGACAACATATACATACAAGATGCTCATGGCAGCAGTATTAGTAGTAGAGAAAAGTTGGCAACAACAAAATATGCATCAATGGACTACCATGCAGTTTTAAATCAAGACATAGAGATAGATCTGTGGGCCCTGAAGTGGGAGAATGTCTATGATACATTGTTGAACTAGAGAAAAACCTTTCCAAAAGTTGTAAAGCAGTAAGTTTAGCAGTAACTTTATTTTGTGAAAAGCACATAAACCCAAACTGTGTGTATATTTTGTGCATATAAAAAGATTGGGAAGAATACATAATAAATATTAATACTCTGGGGGCCGGGCGCAGTGGCTAACGCCTGTAATCCCAGCACTTTGGGAGGCCAGGAGGGTGAGTCACGAGGTCAGGAGTTCAAGACCAGCCTGGCCAAGATGGTGAAACCCCGTCTCTACTAAAACTACAAAAATTAGCCAGTCATGGTGGCAGGCGCCTGTAATCCCAGCTACTCGGGAGGCTGAGGCAGGAGAATTGCTTGAACCTGGGTGGCAGAGTTTGCAGTGAGCTGAAATCGTGCCATTGCACTCCAGCCTGGGCGACAGAGTGAGACTCTGTCTCAAAAACAAAACAAAACAAAACAAAAAAAAACTCTGGGGAGTATATTCTTTCAGTATACATTTATGCATTTAAAAAAAGAAAAAAGCTTAATACTTCAGAAATGGTAAATCATTTGACAAATGAGAAAACCAAATTCTGGGGGCATCACTGATTATAGAGCCTAGACCTTCTGGATTCAAGTCTAGGTTGTACTACATATTAGCTGTTTGACCTTGGGCAAGTTACTTAAATTTTTTGTGCTATGGTTGCCTCACCTGTAGAGAGGACGTAATAATACACCTAATTTAGGATTGTTATGAATTTATATATATGTGTAGAATTTAGAACAGTTTCTGGCATAGACTAAGTCCTATTAAGAGGTGCTGTTGTAAGGATTTAACTACTGTTGTTACTGTCATTGCCACTAATCATCAATTATCAATCAGTTGCCTGTTATAAACTATTTAGAGACAGAAGTGATTAGAAACCAAACTCACTCCAAAAATGCCATGATATAAGGCTGGGTATGTTGGCTCACACCTGTAATCCCAGTGCTTTGGGAAGCAAAGGTGGGAGGATTGCTTAAGTCTAGGCGTTAGAGACCAGCCTGGGCAACATAGTGAGATCCCCATCTCTACAAAAAATTAAAAATAGCTGGATGCGGTGGTATGCACTTGTAGCTCCAGTTACTTGGGAGGCTGAGATGGGAGGATTGCTTGAGCCCAGGAGTTGGAGGCTACAGTGAGCTGTGATCATGCCACTGCACTCCAGCCTGGGTGACAGAGCGAGACCCTATCTCCCAAAAAAAAAAAAAAAAAAAAAAACTATGACATAAAATAATGCAGTTGTTATTGGAGGCGGGGATAGTGGGGTGGCAAAGATTTTCTTTGTACGCAGATGTCCCCAATATATAGAAGAAAGATTTTTAAAAAGCTAGGTCAGCAGAAATCTCTATGAAATGTTTTTCATTATGAGCAATACACGAAAAACAGTCAAAGCAATTCCCTAGGAGTTGTATATGTAGTAATATTATTCCAAAGTTTTTTATTGCTCAAACTTTTAAATGTTGTTAGAGTAGATTTTTACATATTATAACTCTACTGGCTAGGGTTTTATTAGTAGGCCTCCCTCAGTGAGACTTGTTTTAGGTGGTTTTAAAATGATTTCTTACATCTTTTATCCTTGGTCACTTTAAATCTTTACACCTTATTGTAATCGATTTACATTAGAAGCAGCATACTTGATGGTCTCAGTGAAGTCTGTGTGGTGGTGTTCTTTTAGTGGAGCCTAGCAAAAAAAGAATTTCCTTGATTTCCTGATCTTTGGGATTCTAGTCATATGGACCACATTTGGAATAAGCACATAGTTGAATATAAAATGACAAAATGAAACATAACCATATTCTTAAAGTTCTCATTGAATTGTTCTACCATAGTTGAAGTGTTTGGTCAGTATGGCCAAGTGTTTGTTTGTTTTTGAGACGGAGTTTCGCTCTTGTCACCCTGGCTGGAGTGCAGTGGCACGATCTCGGCTTACTGCAACCTATGCCTCCCTGGTTCCAGCGATTCTCCTTCCTCAGACCCCGGAGTAGCTGAGAGTACAGGCGCCCCTCCACCACGCCTGGCTAATTTTTCTATTTTTAATGGAGATGGGGTTTCACCATGTTGGCCAGGCTGGTCTCGAACTTCTGACCTCAGGTGATCCACCCACCTTGGCCTTCCAAAGTGCAGGGATTACTGGTGTGAGCCACTGTGCCTGGCCCTAAGTGTTTCTTATATTAGACTTTCATACTTATAGAGTTGTAGAATATTAGAACTATTAATAGATGAGAATTCAAGAAGATTGAGTCTAACCCCTCATTTTATAGATAACTGAGCCCCAGAGAGATTATGGAATACTAGAAGTCATATATTAAGGTGTTACTTTTACAGTAAATAAAGGAGATGGTAGTCTACTGTATTGGTGTAGACCCATAGTAAATCATGCCTATGGGTATTCATGCTATTGTATAGTCATCTCTCTTTGTATCTCGCCTAGCCCTGTGACTCACTTTAACCAGTAGAACATAGCAAAAATGACACTTTGCTATTTTTGGGTACAAGCCTTGAGCATGTCAGGCAGCTTCTACTTTTGTACTCTTGGGAGCTCTGAGTTGCTGCCGTGCAAGAAGCTGTCATACCTTGCTGGAGAGATGATGTGGAGAGGAAGAGATTCCAGGACTATATGGAAAGAGGGAGGCTTAACTATCTCAGTGTCCTAGCTGCCTTCAGCCCTTAGTTGACTTGCCTGTTGAATACAGACACAAAAGTGATTAGTAAGATTAGCGAAGGGGCCGGCGTGGGGGCTTATGACTGTGCAGTCCCAGCACTCTGGGAGGCCAAGGCATGTGGAACACTTGAGCCCAGGAGTTCAAGACCAGCCCGGGCAATATAGCAAGACACTGTCTCTACAAAAAAATACAGAAATTAGCTGAGTGTGGTGGCATGTCTCTGTAGTCCTAGCTACTTAGGAGGCTGAGGTGGGAGGATTGGTCAAGCCCAGGAGGGTGAGGCTGCAGTGAACCATTATCTTGCCATTGCACTCAAGCCTGGGCGACAGAGTGAAACCTTGTTTCTCTCTCTCACACACAAAAAAAAGATTAACAGAGGAACCACCTAGCTAAGCTCAGTCCAGGTTACGAAATCATAAATAAGTAAAATGCTGGTTGTTTTAATCTGTTTTGCTGGAAGCAGATAGTTTTCTGAATTAAGGGACGCTAAGAACAAAGAGTATTTGGAGCTGGGTGTGGTAGTACATGCCTTTAGTCCCAGCTACTTAGGAGGTTGAGGTGGGAGGATCACTTGAGCAGAGGAGTTGGAGGCTGCAGTGAGCTATGATCCTGCAACTGCACCCCACCCAGCCTGGGTGACAGAACAATACCCGGTCTCAGAAAAAAAAAATGCATTTGGGATACGAGTGATAAAAATCATTATTTTCCATCCTCTTTTACTGAAATAGTTAAATGAAGTTTCTCCTTAACCTTACCCTTTATTTTTCTAAAGTATTTTGAAATACAGATTTTTATTATTGAGGACTTTAAATAGTATTTAAAAATGGAATTGTCACAGTGTAGATTGGGCTATAGTTAGGTCATACAGAATAGAAAGATAAAACAATTATGAATATCAACCCTAAAAAGGATATAGTTTATTTATTTATTTATTTTTGTTGACTTGTACAGAGATCTTTATATATTTGAGCATCCTGGACTCTTGACAGAAGAACTGATTTCTATTTCTGGGCCAATTCTTAACAGCCGGGTATATCAGTAAGGACTAGGTTTGTCTTTATGTGATTGAAAACCCCGTAATAATAATGACTTGAACAGGAGTGTTTATTTCTGTTTCACTTCAAAATCTGGAGGGTAGGTACTGAGGCTGGTATTGTCCCTCTACACTGCAAAGTCATCAGGAGTGTCTCCCTTTATCTAACTTCTCAGACATTTCTAGGTTGTGGCCTTTGCCCTAAGATTCCTTGATGGCTACTAAAGTCCCAATTACATTACATGCATGTCCCATGAAGCAAAATACAGAAAGGAGTCCAAGGGCACACAGCCTCCTCCTTTGAAGAAATATTGTATGTTTTCTCTTACATATAATTGGCTAGAACTATCACAGAGTTCACATGGCTACCTGTAGCTGCAAGGGAGGCTGGGAATGTAGTTTGTTTGTTTTCTGAGACAGAGTCTCGCTCTGTCATGCAGGCTGGAGTGCAATGACATGATTTTGGCTCACTGCAACCTCCGCCTCCCGAGTTCAAGCGATTCTCCTGCCTTAGCCTCCCAAGTAGCTGGGATTACAGGCATGCACCACCAAGCCTGGCTAATTTTTGTATTTTTAGTAGAGACAGGGTTTCACCATGTTGGTCAGGTTGGTACGAACTCCTGACCTCTGGTGATCCACCTGCTTTGGCCTCCCAAAGTTTTGGAATTACAGGCGTGAGCCACCGCACCCGGCTGGGAATGTAGTTTTTTTTTCTTTTTTTCTTTTTTTTTTTTTGAGATGAGAGTCTCGCTCTGTTGCCCAGGCTGGAGTGCATTGGTGTGATCTTGGCTCACTGTAAGCTCCGCCTCCCGGGTTCATGCCATTCTCCTGCCTCCACCTCCTGAGTAGCTGGGACTACAGGCCACCATGCCTGGCTAATTTTTTGTATTTTTATTAGAGACGGGGTTTCACCGTGTTAGCCAGGTTGATCTTGATCTCCTGACCTCGTGATCTGCCTGCCTTGGCCTTCCAAAGTGCTGAGATTACAGGCGTGAGCCACTGCGCCTGGTTGGGAATGTAGTTTTTTTAGATGAGTACCTTGCTACTTAGAATAGGTTCAAAGTCTGGTTACTGATGGTGGGAATAAATATTACAGAAATAGCTAGTAAATAGTCTTTACCACTTTGAGCAATTGGTTTATCACCATAGGCCTAATTTTCTCATGTGTGAGAATTATGATACTGAAGTTCTTGCGATGGCAGATAATTTCATGTTGAGGCCCGGTTGATTGGTAGTGACTGCTTTCAACAATGCTTTGTTGAATCCTGAGCCCCCAGGGTTTTCTTTTTTTTTCTTTTTGAGACAGAGTCTTGCTCTGTCGCGTGGCTGGAGTGCAGTGATGCGATCTTGGCTCACTGCAACCTCCGCCTCCTGGGTTCAAGCGATTCTCGTGCCTCAGCCTCCCTAGTAGCTGTGATTACAGGCATCTGCCACCACGCCTGGCTAATTTTTTTTTTTTTTTTTTTTTAGTAGAGACTGGGTTTTGCCGTGTTGGCCAGGCTGGTCTCGAAATACTGACCTCAGGTGATCCACTTGCCTTGTCCTCCCAAAGTGCTGGGATTACAGGTGTGAGCCACTGCGCCCAGCCCTAAGCCTCCAGTTTTTGACCTCAGCATGGTGAGGAAGTAGTAGAAGTATGTATTTTGGGTGAAGAGGAGAGTAAAAGCATGCTCCCATTTATATGCTAACGCTGTGCTTTTTAAAAATGTGGTTACTTCAACTTTTGTAATCTTTTCATTGAAAACATTTGGTTATTCTGCTAACCTTTGACTATTCTCTTTAAAAATGTCCTACATTCATTCCATATTTTAAAGTTTTCTAATAAACCTGAGTTCCCACTTGTTTTTTTTCCTTCCAGCTTTTATTTTAGGTTCAGGGGTTACATGCACAGATTTGTTAACATGGGCACATTGCGTGTCGCTGAGGCTTAGAGCACAAATCATTTTGTCACTCAGATAGTGAGCATAGTACCCAGTAGGTAGTTTTTGGATCCTCAACTTCCTCCCAGCCTCCACCCTCGAGTAAGCCTTGGTGTCTCTTGGTCCCCTCTGTGTCCACATGTACTTAGTGTTTAGCTCCCACTTGGAAGTTAGAACACACAGTATTTGGCTTTCTGTTAATTAATTCGCTTACGAATAATGGCCTCCAACTGCATCCATGCTGTTGCAAAGGATCATTTCATTCTTTTTTTATGGCTGCACAGTATTCTGTCTCGTATATGTACCATGTTTTCTTTATCCAGTCCGCTGTTGATGGGCAGTTAGGTTGATTCCATGTCTTTGCTGTTGTGCAAAGTCCTGTGATGAACATATGTGTATGTGTGTCTTTATGGTAGAACGATTTCTATTAATTTGGGTATATATCCAGTAATGGGATACCTGGATTGAATGGTAGTTCTCAGTTCTTTGAGAAATCCCCAAAGTGCTTTTGACAGTGGCTGAACTAATTAACATTCCCACTAGCAGTGTATAAGCCTTCCCTTTTCTCTACAACCTTGCCAACATGTTTTTTTTGTGTGTGACTTTTTAATCATAGCCATTCTGACTTGTGTGAGATGGTATCTCATTGTGGTTTTGATTTGCATTTCTCTAATGATAAGTGATGTTGAGCATTTTTTCATATGCTTGTTGGCCACATATGTCTTCTTTTGAGAAGTGTCTGTTCATGCCCTTTGCCCATTTTTAAATGGGGTTGTTTTTTGCTTGTTTTTTTTTTATTATAAACTATTTTTTTATTATACTTTAAATTCTAGGGTACATGTGCACAACTTGCAGGTTTGTTACATATGTATACAAGGTGCCATGTTGGTGTGCTGCACCCATTAACTTGTCATTTACATTAAGTATATCTCCTAATGCTAGTTTTTTGCTTGTTGATTTAAGTTCCTTACAGATTCTGTATATTAGGCCTTTTTTTTTTTGAGATGGAGTCTCTTTCTGTTACAGTCTGGAGTGCAGTGGTGCGATCTCAGCTCACTGCAACCTGTGCCTCCCGGGTTCAAGCAATTCTCCTGCCTCAGCTTCCCGAGTAGCTGGGACTACAGGCGTGCACCACCGCACCCAGCTAATTTTTGTATTTTTAGTAGAGATGGGGTTTCACCATGTTGGCCAGAATGGTCTCGATCTCCTGACCTTGTGATCCACCCACCTCGGCCTCCCAAAGTTCTGGGATTACAGGTGTGAGCCACTGAGCCAGGCCAGGCCTTTGTTGAATGCATAGTTTGCAGATATTTTCTCCCGTTCTGTAGGTTGTCTGTTTACTCTGTTGATAATCTCTTTTGCTGTGCAGAAGTTCCCGCTTTGTGCAGAACATTCCAAACACTGGAGATAGGGATGATGCAGATAAATACTAAACTCCTTTAATGTGTATATCAGAATATACAGAATATGTTACGGTGACAAAGGATCCCAATTCTTAGTGGCATCAGTCACAAAGGTTCATTTCTTGCTCATGCTATGTGTTCATCACAGATCGGTGTGGGTGTTAGATTATAGGTGACTTAAAATCTCTTCCTTTCAAAGTACATTTCTGAAGCATGGTTTATTCTTAGTCAGATTTGCTTTTCCTATTTGTTCTCTGTTAATCACCCAAGGAGGATGTTAGGCAAAATCAAATACTGAGAATCTGCTGTGTATTATACAGTGGAGAGACCAAAATAAGGCAAGATCCCTACCTTCAATTTCTGGTAACTCAGTGCAAAGTATAATGCAAATGACACATTTTACAATAGATTTCAGAAAGTGCTGAGGAAGCTTAGAGAAGGAAGAACTTATCTCAGAGGAACTGAAGAAAGAAGACATCTTTGTTGAGTGTTTAAAAATGAAAACAGACTTTACCGAAGAGAAAAAGGGGAGTGAGAAACTAGTACCTGGCTATTATGTGTTAGGCACTACTAGTGCTTACCAGAAGTTACCTTTTTGATAATTACTGATCACATGGGGTTGAATCATTAGTACGTTTTACAAATGAAAGATGAATTTTTATATAGCTTGTAAGTGATTGAGTCAGGATTTGAATCCAGGTGTGTCTGACCCTGACCTTTGCTTTTTAAGAGACTACAGTCCAATATGGGAGGAAATGAGGAAGGGAAAGTAAATTGGGCATTTTGAATATTAACTGTAAACAATAGGGAGCCATTGAAGATGTTAAACAGAGGTATGACATTGTATCTGTGTTAGAAAAATAACCGGCAACAACTGTAAAACTGGAACTAATGATTTTTTGCATGTGATTAAGTATCAAATGAAGTATAATTTCTGATCTCCTTTAATTTGTTTGTAGTATTTTATAATTTTCAATGCACAGGTCTTGTACTTTTTTTGTTAAATTGATTCCTAAGTATTTCATTGTTTTTGATGTTGTTATAAATGTAAATGTTTTCTTTCCCCCACTTTTTTTTTTGGAGACAGAGTCTCGCTCTGTTGCCCAGGCTGGAGCCCAGTGGCATGATCTCGGCTCACTGCAATCTCCGCCTCCCGAGTTCAAGTGATTCTCCTGCCTCAGCCTCCTGAGTAGCTGGGATTACAGGCGTCTGCCACCATGCCCGGCTAATTTTTTGTATTTTTAGTAGAGATGGGCTTCCACCATGTTGGCCAGGCTGGTCTCAAACTCCTGACCTTGTGATCCACCTGCCTTGGCCTCCCAAAATGCTGGGATTACAGACATGAGCCACCATGCCCAGTCTATTTTTTTTCTTTTAAATGAAAAACAAATCTTTTTATGTAGGGACAGTCGTCTCACTATGTCACCCAGGCTGGTCTCAAACTCCTAGGCTCAAGTGATCCTCCCACCTTGGCCTTTCAAAGTGCCGAAATTATAGACATCAGCTACCACACCCAGCCTGACCTATTCTCTTTCAAACTTTTTTCATATACACAGTTTTTTTTTTTTTGTGATACTACTTATGTACATTTAGAGTTTTGTAACCTACTTTCCCTTGTAACATGTAAAAGAAAATTTCCGTATTGTTAATCTTTTATAACATTTTTGAAGGGTGCTTAATTTTCCATTGAGTAAAACTGAGGGCTGAGTGCTGTCGCTCACGACTGTAATCCCAGCCCTTTGGGAGGCTGAGGCAGGCATATCACAAGGTCAGGAGTTCGAGACCAGCCTGGCCAACATAGTGAAACCCCCTCTGTACTAAAAATACAAAAATTAGCCAGGTGTGGTGGCATGCGCCTGTAGTCTTCAGCTGCTCAGGAGGCTGAGGCAGGAGAATCGCTGGAATCCGGGAGGTGGAGGTTGCAGTGAGCCAAGACCACACCATTGCACTCCAGCCTGGGCGACAGAGCGAGACTCTGTCTCAAAACAACAACAAAAAACTGAGTAACCACACTATAATTTATGTAACCATACAGCTGTCTCCCCTTTTCCTCTTCTCACCCTACTGCCTTTTGTTACTATGTGTAATGCTCTGGCTGACCTTTTTGTAGATAAAGCCTTTTTCATATTTTGGTTATTTTTATAGGACAGATTACCATAGGCAGGATAATTAGGTTAAAAAATAAGCATTTGGCCGGGCATGGTGGCTCACGCCTGTAATCCCAGCACTTTGGGAGGCTGAGGTGGGTGGATCATCTGAGGTCAGGAGTTTGACACCAGCCTGGCCAACATGGTGAATCCCCATCTCTACTAAGATACAAAAATTAGCTGGGCGTGGTGGCGCACACCTGTAGTCCCAGCTACTTGGGAAGCTAAGGAAGGAGTATCGAGGCAAAGGTTGCAGTGAGCCGAGATTGTGCCACTTCACTCCAGCCTAGGTGACAGAGTGAGACTCCATCTTTTTTTTTTTTTTTTTTTTTAAAAGAAAGAGGGTGGGCGCGGTGGCTCATGCCTGTAATCCCAGCACTTTGGGAGGCCGAGGTGGGTGGATGACGAGGTGAAGAGATTGAGACCATCCTGGCTAACGTGGTGAAACCCCGTCTCTACTAAAAGATACAAAAAATTAGCTGGGTGTGGTGGCAGGCGCCTCTAGTCCCAGCTACTCAGGAGGTTGAAGCAGGAGGATGGCGTGAACCCAGGAGGCGGAGCTTGCAGTGAGCCGAGATCATGCCACTACACTCCAGCCTGGGCGACAGAGCAAGACTCCGTCTCAACAACAACAACAACAAAAAAGCATTTTTTGATTCTTCATAGATATTCAGAAGCATATAGGCTCTAATGTCTATTTGCTTATTGTCAAATTCTGGTCTTATCACTTTCTAGTTGTTGGACTTTGTATAAGCTGTTCAATCTGTATCTGTTTGTTACCTATAAAATAGGGATGATAATAACATCTTTGTCACAGGATTATTAAAAGATTTAAAGAGGGTATATGTGTTAAGAAAGCCGCTAGAGGCCAGGTGCAGTGGCTCATGCCTGTAATTCTAGCACTTTGGGAGGCCGAGGTGGATGGATCACCTGAGGTCAGGAGTTCGAGACCAGCCTGACCAACATGGTGAAACCCATCTCTAGTAAAAATACAAAAATTAGCCAGACATGGTGGTGGGCACCTGTAATCCCAGCTACTTGGGAGGCTGTGGCAGGAGAGTCGCTTGAACCTGGGAGGAAGTGGTTGCAGTGAGCTGTGCCTATTACTTAGTAAGTTCTTAGTAAATACGAACTTTTTAAAATTTTTTCCTTCTTATATTTGATGCCTTAGCAAGCAATAAATATAAACTCTTTTTTTGAGATAAATATAAACTCTTTTTTTTTTTTTTTTTTTTGAGATGATGTCTCACTGTGTCACCCAGGCTAGAGTGCAGTGGTGCCATCTCGGCTCTCCACAACCTCTGCCTCCCAGGTTCAAGGGATTCTCATGTGTCAGCGCCCTGAATAGCTGGGATTACAGGCGTGTGCCACCATGCCTGGCTAATTTTTTGATTTTAGTAGAGACAAGGTTTACCATGTTGGCCAGGCTAGTCTTGAACTCCTGTCTCAAGTGACCTGCCTGCTTTAGCCTCCCAAAGTCCTGGGATTACAGGTGTGAGCCACCGTGCCCGGCTTGATCTCTTATTTTTTTAAATTACATTGAATTTTTTTTTTTTTTTTGATACAGAGTCTTGTTCTGTCACCCAGGCTGGAGTGCAGTGGCATGATCTCCGCTTACTGCAACCTCCGCCTCCTGAGATCAAGCGGTTCTCCTGTCTTAGCCTCCCAAGTAGCTGGGATTACAGGCGCGCTACCATGCCTGGCTAATTTTTTGTTGTTGTTGTTTGTTTTTTTTTGAGATGAGTCTTGCTCTGTCGCCCAGGCTGGAGTGTAATGGCGTGATCTCGGCTCACTGCAAACTCCGCCTCCTGGGTTCACGCCATTCTCCTGCCTCAGCCTCCCTCCCGAGTAGCTGGGACTACAGGTGCCTGCCACCATGCCCGGCTAATTTTTTGTAGTTTTAATAGAGATGGGGTTTCACCGTGTTAGCTAGGATGGTCTCGATCTCCTAACCTCGTGATCTGCCCGCCTCGGCCTCCCAAAGTGCTGGGATTACAGGTGTGAGCCATCGCGCCTGGCCTACGCCTGACTAATTTTTGTATTTTTAGTAGAATACTAAAAATACAGGGTTTCGCCATGTTGGCCAGGCTGGTCTTGAACTCCTGACCTCAAGTGATCTCCCCTGCCTTGGCCTCCCAGAATGCTTGGATTACAGGCATAAGCCACCATGCCCAGCCCTGATCTCTTATTTTTATTAAAGTTTTGAAATGCCACTCCCTAAAAAGGTTGCATCAATTTGTAATGTCATTAGCAATGTGTGATAGGTCTAGTTTTATCAAACCTTTGTCATGTATGATATATTAAAATCTTTATCTTAACAACAGAAAAAAAGTAGTTCTAAGCTTTTACTTACTTGATTAGTAGGACTAATGAATATTTTGAATTTCTTTTTCTTTTTTCTTTGAGACCTGAGTCTTACACTGTTGCCCAGGCTGGAGTGCCGTGGCACGATCTTGGCTTACTGCAACCTTCGCGTCCCAGGTTCAAGCAGTTCTCCTGCCTCAGCCTCCCAAGTAGCTGGGATTACAGGCATCCACCACCACGCCCAGCTATTTTTTTGTATTTTTAGTAGAAATGGGTTTTCACTATGTTGGCCAGGCTGGTCTCGAGCACCTGATCTCATGATCCACCCGCCTCGGCCTCCCAAAGCGTTGGGATTACAGGCATGAGCCACCGCGTCAGCCTTTTTTTGAATTTTATTACTTGTATTTCTTGCGAATTGCCCAGTCGTGTTTTGTCCATGGTTTATTGGGGTGGGGGCATTCTAACTGTTTCGTATCATTAATTTAAGCTTGTTGTATGACATATTTGCTCTAAGAATTTCACCTCATTTCATTGTATAGGTAATTATCTTTTGTGTAGTGAAAAGTCCCATTATTTCTTTTAGTTCATTTAAGATTTTATTCAATTATTTATAGAAGTAGTAAGATAAATATTTGTAGATAGGTAAACAAAGCATTAGAATTTTTGACTTTTAGAAAGTAAAATCATTTGATTTAATGTCTATTTTTGTTCATTCCTATTTCCTATCTAATTAATAGAACACAGTACTGGGAGGAGGAACAAAATTTTAATCATGATATTGCTGTTTTTCATAATAATCTAGGACTAGTAATAAGTCCTCTCTTTCATCCAGAAAATATTGAAGGCCGGATGCCATCACCTGTAATCCCAGCACTTGAGGCTGAGGCAGGCTGATAGCTTGAGCTCAGGATTTCAAAATCAGTCTGGGCAAAATGGTGAGATCCTGTCTCTACAAAAAAATAAAAAATTAGCTGCATGTGGTATGCACCTGTTGCCTCAGCTGTTTGGGAGACTGAGGAGGGAGGATCGCTTGAGCCTTGGAGATTGAGGCTGTAGTGAGCTGTGATCATGCCACTGCACTCTAGCCTGGTAGCAGAGCAAGACCCTGTCTCAAAAAGAAAAAAAAAAAGAAAGAAAGTATTGAGAAGTTAACTTATTTCATTACCTTAATGAAAAATAGTTAAGGCCAGGTGCAGTGGCTCACGCCTGTAATCCCAGCACTTTGGGATGCTGAGGTGGGTGGATCACCTGAGGTCTAGAATTTGAGATCGGCCTGACCAACATGGTGAAACCTCTTCCCTACTAAAAATACAAAAATGAGCCAGGCATGATGCCGGGCGCCTGTAATCCCAGCTAAAAAAAAAAAAAGATTTTTTCCAAATACAGTATTTTTATTAAATCTTATTGAGTAGTTTTCACATTGGCAACTCTGTGTGTTTCTTTCTTTTTTTGAGACAGAGTTTCGTGCTTGTTGCCCAGGCTGGAGTGTGATGGCACAATCTCGGCTCATGGCAACCTTCGCCTCCCAGGTTCAAACGATACTCCTGCCTCAGCCTCCTGAGTAGCTGGGATTACATGCATGCGCCACCATGCCCGGCTAATTTGTATTTTTAGTAGAGATGGGGTTTCTCCATGTTGGTCAGGCTGGTCTCGAACTCCTGACCTCAGGTGATCCGCACCCCCTTGGCCTCCCAAAATGCTGGGATTACAGGTGTGAGCCAGCCACCACACCCAGCTTTTTGTGTTTCATATGCATTTTTTTTTTTTTTTGAAACAGAGTCTCACTATGTCGCCCAGGCTGGAGTGCAGTGGCACAGTATTAGCTCACTGCAACCTCTGCCTCCTGGGTTCAAGCAATTCTCCTGCCTCAGTCTCCTGAGTAGCTGGGATCACAGGCGTGCGACACCACGCCCAGCTAAATTTTGTATTTTTAGTAGAGACAGGGTTTCACCATGTTGGTCAGGCTGGTCTCGAATTTCTGACCTAGTGGTCCGCCCGCCTTGGCCTCCCAGAGAGTTGGGATTACAGGCATGAGCCATCGCGTCTGGCCTCATACATTTTCTAAATGACTTTTGTAAATTTTTTTTTTTTTTTGAGACGGAGTTTTGCTCTTGTCACCCGGACTGGAGTGCAGTGGTGCGATCTCGGCTCACTGCAACCTCCGCCTCCTGGGTTCAAGCGATTTTCCTGCCTCAGCCTCCCAAGTAGCTGGGATTACAGGCGCCCGCCACCACACCTGGCTAATTTTTGTATTTTTAGTATAGATGGGGTTTTGCTATGTTGGCTAGGCTGGTCTCGAACTCCTGACCTCAGGTGATCCACCTGCCTCGGCCTCCCAAAGTGCTGGGATTACAGGCGTGAGCCACCATGCCCGGCCAGTTTTTGTAATTTTAAAGAGAACAAAAATCCTGAGATGGAAACTTATGTAGAATTTTATTCATAGTTGAAGTTAGTTACAGTGGAAATAAAAACTAGAAAGTTGCATTGTATCTTCTAAACATATGTATTTAACATAATTTCACATTTCATTATAGATGGTTCTTTGGAATGATATTTAAAAATTTTGTGGCTGGGCGCAGTGGCTTACACCTGTAATCTTAGCACTTTAGGAGGCTGAGGCAGGCGGATTGCTTCAGCTCAGGAGCTCAACTAGTCTGGGCAGCATAACAAAACCCTGTCTCTACAAAAAATACGTAAATTATCCAGCTATGGTGGCCCGCGTTAGTAGTCCCAGCTACTCGGGAGGCTGAGGTGGGAAGATGACGTGAACCCAGGAGGTCGAGGCTGCAGTGAGGTAAAATCGCACCACTGCACTCCAGCCTGGACAAAGTGAGACCCTGTCTCCGAAAAAAGAAATTGTTATAATGAATGAATAGATTTACATTGTTAGTTTAGTTTTGTTTTTTTTCTCAGAAGTGTAGAGTTTGTTCTTAGTCTGTCCATCTGTATACAAGCATGAACTGTACAGTCAACTGCCTTGTAGAGGGGCTGGTTTTTGGTTATGTCTTAAATCTTAACTCCTTTTAATTATTCTGAATTTTAGTGGGATTCCTATATCATTGTAGATTTGGAAAGTATTGAGTAGGAGATGATAATCTATAATCAGGATTCTGAGTTGGTAAGATTTTATAGATCTGAAAAAAGTAATTTCTTGACCTTGGCCTCAATAAGAAAGTCAGAACTTGACCCTTATTTACCAGCACCATCCCCCCCACCACAATATTTAAAGTGTTTAAATCATTTATTTTGAAATTCTTATGTGATCCAAGACCACTGTGCATTTAAGCTAGTTTATTTGTTTATTAAAACAAAAGAAGTAGACTGCAGTTACGTTGTTTCTTTTTCTGTTGTTTGGTGTCAGGAGTAGAATACATTTGGCCAGCTTCATGAGAGGATTAGAAAGTTGGAGAAGGAAAAATAGAATTGTTTACGGAGCCAGGAGAATAATTGTCTATAATTATAGATGCTTGTTTTGAGGTTTGGAAAAGGTGGTTTAAAAAACTTTTAAGAAAAAACATGATAAACATCTATAAATATGAGGAAGAAAAATTGGTTGCAACATTAAAAAAATTTTTTTTTGAGAGGGAGTCTTGCTCTGTCGCCCAGGCTGGAGTGCAGTGGCAGGATCTCAGCTCACTGCAACCTCCGCCTCCCGGGTTCAAGCCATTCTCCTGCCTCAGCCTCCTGAGTAGCTGGGATTACAGGTTCCTGCCACGATGCCCGGCTAATTTTTGGATTTTTAGTAGAGATCGGGTTTCACCATGTTGGCCAGACTGGTCTCAAACTCTTGCCTCAAGTGATCAGCCTGCCTTGGCCTCCTAAACTGCTGGGATTACAGGCATGAGCCACCGCTCTTGGCCAGGTTGCAACATCTTCATTAGACTTGTTTAAATGAGAATTTTCCTTTGTTAAATGGAAGAAAATAGGCTCTGTTTGGGAGAGTGAGGCCCAAGTAGGACATCCTTGATACACATTGAAGATCTATTTATTTATTTATTTAAATTTTTTGCTCTGCAAAATTGACCAAAGAATGAAGATCATTTTAGTTGGTTAATATTTCAGTTTTGACTTCCTGGCCAGAGATAGTAGATTGGAAAGGATTTAGAGATTTACTGAGGGAGTTAACCCAAGATTTTAACATTGTGATGCAAAATGATGTTAAAACGCGTTCGTTTCCCTTTTATTATTTAAAGAAATCCTAGATTTCTTTAAATAATACAAAGTAATTAAATGGACCTGTTGGGTTATTTGAAATTAAGCAGTAGACAGGGGAAGTTCTTGTAAGTGGTTACTAAAGCGTTAACATTAGAGGCATTCTCCACTGGCTGGCTGTAGCAGAGTCCCTGATCTGGGCTTTGGAGAAATCCATCCCACCTTTTTTTAGGTGCCTGCTTTACGTCGGATCTACTTTCTCTACTCGTGCCTTTTCTTCCACCTTCTTCCCCCTCCTCTTTCTCATAGATGGTGTGGAGGTGGGAGAGAGGGAGGGAGAGGGAGATCAACTGATTATTGTGTGTTGAGGGGGTGGGGGGTCAGAGATTCTCTGGGCCATAAAAGTTGCACGAAATAAAATGCTCTTTTTTTTCTTGTGTGGGCCCTGCCATGAGATCAGGTTGTCGGACTTGATTGGGAGCCACGGATCCCGCCCTACTGAAAACATTGTTGCAGGATGGGATGGGATGAAGCTGAAAGTCTTATCAAGTGGTATTATATCTGGCACAACAAAAGGCCAGAACCCCAAAATATCCTAAGGATAAAAAGTTTTTGTTTCTTTTCATAGGATATTTTTGTATCTGGTTTGGAAGGATGACTTGACTTGGATTGTACTGTTAAAGACAAAATGAACTATTGTATTTATTATGTATTTAACCTTATTAAAGCATTAAGTATGACAGCACTAGTTATAGAGAATTGTGTGTGTATGCACACATATACACACATATACATATATACACACACCATATATATATTTTTTTTGAGACTTGGTCTCGCTCTGTCATCCAGGCTGAAGTGCAGGAGTGAGATCTTGGCTCACTGCAGCCTCGACCTTCCAACCCCAGTGATCCTTCCACCTCAGCCTCCCAAGTAGCTGGGGCCGTGGGGATGTGCCATCACCACCAGCTAATTTTTTTATCTTTTATTTTTTGTAGAGACGGCGTCTCTCGATGTTGCCCAGGCTGACCTCGAGCTCCTGGGTTCAAGTGATCCACCTACCTCAACCTCCCAAAATGCTGGGATTATAGGCGTGAGTCACTGGGCCCGGCTGAGATGTATATATTATATATACATCTCATATACATATACATATATACATAATCTCATATATAAAAATTATACATTATATATAATATTTATAATATAATATATATAAATTAAAACTTAAAAAAAATTTTATTTTATTTGAGATGGAGTCTTGCTCTGTCGCCCAGGCTGGAGTGCAGTGGCGCTGTCTCGGCTCACTGCAGCCTCCACCTCCCAGGTTCAAGCGATTCTGCTGCCTCAGCCTCCTGAGTAGCTGGGATTACAGGGGTGTGCTTCCACACCTGGCTAATTTTTTTTTTTTTTTTTGAGACAGGGTCTTCCTCCGTCGCCCAAGCTGGAGTGCGAGGGCGCGATCTTGACTCAGTGCAAGCTCCGCCTCCTGGGTTCACGCCATTCTTCTGCCTCAGCCTCCCGAGTAGCTGGGATTACAGGTGCCAGCCACTATGCCCAGCTAATTTTTTTGTGTTTTTAGTAGAGACGGGGTTTCACCATGTTGGTCAGGCTGGTCTTGAATTGCTGACCTCGTGATCTGTCTACCTTGGCCTCCCAAAGTGCTAGGATTACCGGCATGAGCCACCGTGCCCGGCCTATATTTTTAATAATGAAATCAGAACTAGGTTTGTAAACAGGGAAAGAACAAATAATCATAAAAGTTTTATATTCTGGATTTGGAAGTTGGTTGATTTAAGAGTAATGAGAATAAATAATATCCCCTCCCCCTTTAGTTCTCAAGGTTTTCCACTTAGTTTAAGTAGTTTTATTAGCTATAGTAGAGTAACTCAGCATTTTGAAATATTTGTATAATTTGAAAAGTCTCTGAAAGAACACTGTGATTCGGGTATAGCATTGCAAGTTTGAGGGGTTTCAACAGATTTCTTCATGTGTGTTTAATTCCATGATGATTTAAAAAAAAACCCAAGAAATAAAACCTCTGGTCACTTAACCAGCATTTTATTTTATTTATTTTTATTTTATTTTATTTTTTTTGAGACGGAGTCTTGCTCTGTCACCCAGGCTGGAGTGCAGTGGCGTGATCTCAGCTCACTGCAAGCTCCGCCTCCTGGGTTCAAGCGATTCTCCTGCCTCAGCCTCCCAAGAAGCTGGGACTACAGGCGCCCGCCACCACACCTGGCTAATTTTTTTTTTTTTTTTTTGTATTTTTAGCAGACATGGGGTTTCACTGTGTGGTAGCCAGGATGGTCTCGATCTCCTGACCTCCTGATGCACCTGCCTCGGCCTCCCAAAATGCTGGGATTACAGGCGTGAGCCACTGCACCTGGCCCACTTAACCAGCATTTTAACATATTTCTTCTGAAAATCTGATTACCAGAATTTAATTACATTAGAAGAAATTTTTTAAAAAGCTCATAACTATTACGTAGCAAATATGTTTTCAAAGAACTTGTTTTAAGGTGGGTCTTGGTGGCTCACACCTCTAATCCCAGCACTTTGGGAGGCTGAGGCAGGTGGATCACTCGAGGTAAGGCGTTCAAGACCAGCCTGGACAACATAGTGAGACCCTGACCCTAAAAAAAATACAAAAATTAGCCAGGTGTGATGGCACATTCTTGTGTGATCCCAGCTAATCGGGAGGCTGAGGTGGAAGGATCAGGTTGAGCTCCGGAGGTCAAGACTGCAGTGAGTTGAGATGGCGCCACTGCACTTAAGCCTGGGTAACACTAAGCCTGGGTAACAGAGGGAAACTCTGTCTCAAAAAAAAAAGAGAGAGAAACCCACCCAGTTTGATGAATTAGATGCATGTTAAGTGAAACAGTTTTTTAGATAGTGTAGAATTAACTTCATTATGTTCACAGTTAAATTCATATTAGACTGTTACCTATTCTAAGATATTTGATATTAACCCTCAAGGGACATTGGCTACATTTTTTTTTTTTTTTTTTTTAACAAAACCTTGTAGTTTATGTTAGTGGTCTCCAAACTTTTTGGCACCAGGGACTAGTTTTGTGGAAGAGAGTTTTTTCCACAGACCCCAGGGGGAGCACGGAGTGGATGGTTTTCGGGTGAAACTCTTCCACCTTAGATCATCAGGCATTAGTTAGGTTAGTTAGATTCTCATAAGAAGCATGCAGCCTAGGTCCCTTGCTTGTGCAGTTCACAATAGGGTTTGTGCTTCTATGAGAATCTAATGCCGCTGCTGATCTAGAGGAGGCCGAGCTCAGGTTAATGCTGGCTTGCCTGCCGCTCACCTGCTGTGTGGCCTGGTTCCCAACAGGCTACCGAGTGGTATTGGTCTGCAGCTATAGGTGGGGGGAACCCTGAGTACGATAAACTATCTTCTAGAATAATTTTTTTAATATATTGAAGCAGTAGTGCCTAGTTTATAAGTAGACATATGTATAGTATAAACTATATAGTTTATATTCAGAGTACAAAATCCACCTTGGCCACTATTTTTTTTTTTCTTTTTTTGAGATGGAGTCTCACTCTGTCACCCAGGCTGGAGTGCAGTGGCACGATTTTGGCTCACTGCAACCTCTACCTCCCTGGATTCAGCGATTCTCATGCCTCAGCCTCCCAGGTGGCTGGGATTACAGGCACACGTCACCACACCCACCTAATTTTTGTATTTTTAGTAGAAACGGGGTTTCGCCATATTGGCCAGGCTGGTCTCGAACTCCTGACCTTGTGATCTGCCCACCTCGGCCTCCCAGAGTGCTGGGATTACAGGCGTGAGCCACCCCACCCGGCCACCTTGGCCACTATTACAAAAGTAAAGCTAAATAATACTGAAGTATATGTTCCATATTTTGTAAGGACTGTTGATTTGGAAACAGTGTATTCTAACAAGATAAATTTTAAATGTAACTAATAGTATATGTTTCTGAATAAATAGTTGCTGCTTCTAATATAAAGTGTCATATTTGTTTTAAAATCATTGCTCAAGTTGTATAGTTGTTTTGGGCACGTATTTTCAACTTCTAGACCAATACAAAATGTAAAATAAGTAAAAGACGTGATATAGTTGTATCCTTTCTAAACACTGACCTATTTTTTTTTTTTCCTTTGCTACCTTTTTTTTTTTTTTGAGACAGAGTCTCGCTGTGTCGCCCAGGCTAGAGTGCAGTGGTGCGATGTTGGCTTACTGCAGCCTTCGCCCCTCGGGTTCAAGTGAGTCTCCGGCCTCAGCCTCCCAAGTAGCTGGGATTACAGGCGTGTGCCACCATGCCTGGTTAAGTTTTTGTATTTTTAGTAGAGACCGGTTTTATCATGTTGGCCAGGCTGGTTTCGAACTCCTGACCTCAAGTGATCTGCCTGTCTTGGCCTCCCAAAGTGATAGGATTACAGGCGTGAGCCTCCGTGCCCGGCCCCTTTGCTACATTTTAATGATAATGAAAATGTAATCCAAGTGTCAGATTATTCAGTAGCTTCCTGTCTTTTGGTTTGTGGGAAGTTTGATACGTTATTTTTTAATGTTTCTTAGTCCTTTGTTATATTTCATGGATAGTGGGGAAGTGAGTCTGTGACTTGATTGAAATATATTGTACAATGCATTCATCTGCATCATAGGCACTTGGCTTTTAATGGTAAAGTGGAAACTAAACTTCTCCTTAGGAACAATTTGCACTAATTTATTTAACTGATATTGATGATGCTCCATAAAGATAAAAATGTCATTGCATGGAGGCTTACTTGTGATGTAATTTGTACTTTGGAGAAGTAAATCATAGTATGATTTTAGATGTTTTATTAACATCTAAAATGTTTCAGTTTCTGTAGTAGAATATTGTTAAATAAAATGGTAAACACTGTAAACCTTAATACTCCTTCCCAAGAAGAAACCATTACCACCACTACCTCTTCTCCCTCCAAAACAGAAACCATTACCACCTCCACCTCTAACAACAGAAAAAAAAAACCAAAAAATAAAAAAACCCTTTTTTGGCCCCACACCTTTTTTGGCTCACACCTGTAATCCCAGCACTTTGGAAGGCCAAGGCGGGATCCTCTTGAGACCAGGAGTTCGAGCCCAGCCTGGGCAACATCAGGAGACCTCATCTCTACTAAGAAAAAAAAATGGCTGTGTGTCGTGATACACCTATAGTCCCAGTTATTTGGGAGGCTGAGGCAGGAGGATCACTTGAGCCTAGGAGTTCAAGGCTGCAGTGAGCCATGATTGTACTACTGCACTCCAGCTTGGGCAGCCCAGGAAGACTGTGTCTCAAAAAACAAACAAGAACACCTTTTTAATCTGTTAACTCATGGTTTGTTTAAGATTTTCTTTTAGCCATTTTTGATGCCTTTTTTTTTTTTGAGACAGGTTCTCACTCTGTCTCTCAGGCGGGAGTACAGTGGTGTGATCATGGCTCATTGCACCCTGGACTTCCCAGAATCAGATGATTCTCCTACCTCAGCCTCCCAAGTAGCTGGGACTACAGGCACACACCACCATGTCCAGCTAATTTTTGTATTTTTTGTAGAGACTGGGTTTTGCCATGTTGCCCAGAGTGGTCTTGAACTCCTGGGCTCAAGTGATCCACCCACCTTGGCCTGCCAGAGTGCTGGGATTATAGGCATACGCCAGCTGCACCCAGCCCATTTTTGATATCTCAAATCTTTCATCATAGTTTAGTCAGCCATATTTTTCCTAGAATTTTTTTAAAAACTATTTTGTCTTGCTATCAAGCTATTACTCTGTAGTTTTACATACATTCTTTATTTTAACTAAACTGTTATGAGCAATAATTTGTGATAACTTTTTTTTTTTTCTGAGACAGAGTTTTGCTTTTGTTGCCCAGGTTGGAGTGCAATGGCGCACATGATCTTGACTCACTGCAACCTCTGCCTCCCAGGTTCAAGCGATTCTCCTCCCTCGGCCTCCCGAGTAGCTGGAATTACAGCCATGCACCACCATGCCTAGCTAATTTTTTATTTTTAGTAGAGACTGGGTTTTTCCAAGTTGGTCAGGCTGGTCTCAAACTCCCAACCTTGGGTGATCTGCCCACTTCGGCCTCCCAAAGTGCTGGGATTACAGGCGTGAGCCACCGCACCCTGCCAATTTGCGATAACTTTTTAATCTTTTTGTATCGTGTATTTAAACTTTTAAGTTCTTTTCCCTGTCAATTTCTGACAGATTGAAAAATAATAATCTTTATATTATTTAAAAGCTTCTTCTAAAAGGTACAAAGGAAAAAATAGAATGCAAAGTGAACTAGGCAGCGTGTAGTGGCTCCTGCCTGTAATCCCAGCACTTTGGGAGGCCAAGGTGGGCAGATCACATGAGACCAGGAGTTTGAGACCAGTCTGGCTAACATGGCGAAACCCCATCTCTACTAAAAATACAAAAATTAGCCAAGTGTGGTGGTGCATGTCTATAATCCCAGCTACTTGGGAGGCTGAGGCATGAGAATCACTTGACCCTAGAAGGTGGAGGTTGCAGTGAGCAGAGATCGAGCCACTACTCCAGCCTGGGCAGAAAAAAAAAAAAAAAAAAAAAAGTGAAGTTAAACTAAATTTAGATCTGTTGAGTTTGAAATGATGGTTGTATATACCTCTAAGATCAGTAAAACCTAAATCAATCTAGAGAACAGGTGTTAAAGATACATTTTTGGTGGGGTGTGGTGCCTCATGCCTGTAATCCTGCCATTTTGGGAGGCCAAGGCGGGTGGCTTGCTTGAGCTCAGGAGTTTGAGACCAGCTGGGCAATATGAAGAAACCCCATCTCTACAGAAAATACAAAAATTAGCCAGGCACAGTGCTACACGCTTGTGGTCCCAGCTCCTCAGAAGGCTGAGGTGGGAGGATTGCTTGAGCGTGGGAGGCAGAGGTTGCAGTGAGCTGAGATTGTGCCACTGTACTCCAAACTGGGCAACAGAGGGAGACCCTATCTCAAAAAACAAAACAAAACAAAACAAAAAAACAAAAAAGATTTTCATGCTCTGGTAAAATAAGTATTAAAATTAGGAAACTATGGATGAATTGAATGTTTTGGTCTGGTCGAAGTACTGTGCATTAAATTTTTGGTTACATTTTACTTTGATAAGCAGTGACGGTTCAGTAATTTTGATGATAGTCTATACATCATGTAACTTGACTTATTTAGTTGTCAACAAATATCTTTTTTTTTTGAGACCTGAGTCTTGCTCTGTTGCCCAGGCTGGAGTGCAGTGCTGCGATCCTGGCTCACTGCAACCTCTGCCTCCCGGATTCAGATTTTCCTGCCTCCGCCTTCTGAGTAGCTGGATTACAGATGTGCACCACCACGCCTGGCTAATTTTTGTATTTTTAGTAGAGACAGGGTTTCAGCATGTTGACCAGGCTGGTCTTGAACTCTTGACCTCAGAAGATCTGCCCACCTCGGCCTCCCAAAGTGCTGTGATTACAGGCGTCAGCCACCGCGCCCGGCCTAGAGATACCTTTTAAGGTGGTTCTAAAGCCTCAGAAATTATTTATCCTGAAGAGAAAGATTAAAGTTTTATTCATTGCATTATGAGGGAAAGTTTAGGCAGAGTATCTTATGGTTTTGTTTTTCATTAAAAGATCAATGTTCTTTCAGATTTTAAGTCCATTTAAAAACTTTGCATAGTAATATATGTACATGGTTGAAAAAAGTCTAATAGCCCAGAATGCTTATAATAAGGATCAAGAATTCTGTTTCACTCCTTATTGCCACTCTCCAAACAACTTTTTTGTATCAATTTAAGGGTTACAGGTGCAGTTTTGTTACATGAATACATTGCATAGTGCTGCAGTTTGGGCTTTTAGTGCATCCATCATCCAAATAATGTACGTGTACCCATTCAGTAATTTCTTGTTACTCACCCTCCTCCCAGCCTCCCAACCTTCTGAGTCTCCAGTGTCGTTATTCCACACTGTGCCCACATGTACACATTATTTTGCTTCAACTTATAAGTGAGAACATGGCCTCCAGGTCCTTCCATCCTTCCACGTTGCTACAAAAGACATGATTTCATTCTTCCTTTATGGCTGAATAGTATTCGTGTGTGTGTGTGTGTGTGTGTGTGTGTGTGTGTGTGTGTGTGTATGTGTCCCAGTTTTTCTTTATCCAGTCGTCTGTTGATGGATATGGAGATTGATTCCCTATCTTTGCTATTGTGAGTGTTGCTGTGATAAAGGTACGAGTGCAGTTATCTTTTTGATATAATGATTTATTTTCCTTTGGGTGGATACCCAATAGTGGGATTGCTGGATTGAATAGCAGTTTTATTTTTTATCATTTTTACTTTTTTGAGATGGAGTTTCGCTCTTGTTGCCCAGGTTGGAGTGCAATGACATGATATCGGCTCAGTGCAACCTCTGCCCACCAGGTTCAAGTGATTCTCCTGCCTCAGCCTCCCGAGTAGCTGGGATTACAGGTGCACACCACCACGCCCAGCAAATTTTTGTATTTTTAGTAGAGACAGGGTTTTACCATGTTGGCCAGGCTGGTCTTGAACTCCTGACCTCAGGTGATGCACCTGCCTTGGCCTCCCAAAGTGCTGGGCTTACAGGCGTGAGCCACCGTGCCTGGCCAGCAGTTTTATTTTTTAGTCATTTGAGAACTCTTTATATGGTTTTCCATACAGGTGGTACTAATTTACATTCCCGCCCACAGTGTGTTAAGTGTTCCCCATTGTCTGCATCTTCCCCAACATCTGTTATTATTATTGTTTCTTTAATAGTGGCCATTCTGATTGGTGTAAGATGATATGTCATTGTGGTTTTTATTTGCATTTCCTCGATGATTAGTGATGAGCATTTTTTTCACATACCTGTTGACTGTTTGTATGTCTTCTTTTGAGAAATGTCTATTAATGTCCTTTGCTAACTTTAAAATTCTTAAAAATTTTTTATTAAAATTTTTTCTTAAGACCAGTTAAGTGCAGTAGTGAAAGGGGAGTAAAGAGTATAGAACAAGGAATTTGATCGGTAACTGACAGTGAACCATCAATTGGGATAACTCACTACCAGTTATCAGTAGTGAGGTATTCAGAACAGCCCTTTGCTTACTTTTTGATGGGATTATTTGTGTTCCTTGTAAATTCTGGATGTTAGTACCCTGTGAGATACATAGTTTGAAACTTTTTTCTCCTATTCTGTAGGCCATTTGTTCAGTCTGCTGATTCTTTTGCTATGCAGAAGCTTTTTAGCTTAAGTCTCATTTGTCTATTTTTGTTTTTTTTTTTTTTGCTTGTGCTTTTGAGGTCTTAGTCATGAATTCTTTAAATTCATGAATTCTTAGTCATGAATTGTATAGATCAGTGTCCAGGAGAGTTTTTCCTAGGTTTTCTTCTAATGGTTTTTATAGTTTCAGGTCTTTGGATGAAGTCTTTAATCCTTCTTGAGTTGATTTTTGTATATGGTGAAAGATAGGGGTCCAATTTCCAAAGGAAACTTTCAAATTATTTCTTCCTGTGGTATTGTCGTGACTATATAATATACATATGTTATGATTTATGATTGATTTCTGCTCTGATAAAGGAGGATTTGGCTTCTTTACATCTGCTTCCCCAATAGATTTTTTAAAAATCACTTTTAATTTCTCTGCTAGTTATCTCTGCAGTTTATATCAGAACTTTCCTTCATGTTATATAGACTGTTGATCTTGATGTACCAAGCAGTAACTTTTGTTTGTTTGTTTGTTTTTTTGAGACGGAGTTTCACTCTTGTTGCCCAGGCTGGAGTGCAATGGCGCGATCTCGGCTTGCTGCAACCTCTGCCGCCCGGGTTCAAGCGATTCTCCTGTCTCAGCCTCCCGAGTAGCTAGGATTACAGGCAGGCGCCACCATGCCTGGCTAATTTTGTATTTTTAGTAGAGATGAGGTTTCACCGTGTTGGTCAGGCTGGTCTTGAACTCCCAACCTCAGGTGATCCACCTGCCTCAGCCTCCCAGAGTGCTGGGATTATAGGTGTGAGCCACCACGCCCGGCTGCAACTCTTCTTTTTACCTTTCCTTTTCCCTTTATGTGCTTACATCTGTCATTTCTGACATTGACATTGTCAAGGTTGAGAACAGTTATGCGCTGTATTGTACTCCTTACTACTTTGTTTGTTTATTTATTTATTTTTTTGAGACAGTCTTGCTCTGTTGCCCAGGCTTGAGTGCAGTGGTGCGATCTTGGTTCACTGCAACCTCCGCTTCCTAGGTTCAAGCTATTCTCCTACCTCAGCCTTCCAAGTAGCTGGGACTACAGGTGCGTACCACCGTGCTTGGCAAATTTTTGTATTTTTAGTAGAGACGGGGCTTCTCCATGTTGGCCAGGCTGGTCTTTAACTCCTGACCTCAACTGATCCACTTGCCTCGGCCTCTCAAAGTGCTGGGATTACAGGTGTGAGCCACTGCACCTGGCCGGTATGACTTTAATACTTGAAAGTTAATGGGCTGGACGTGGTGGCTCACACCTGTAATCCCAGCACTTCGGGAGGCTGAGGCGGGCTGATCACCTGAGGGCGGGAGGCCGAGACCAGTCTGGCCAACATGGTGAAACCCCGTCTCTACTAAAAATACAAAAATTCGTGGTGGCGTATGCCTGTTATCCCGGCTACTTGGGAGGCTGAGGCAGGGAGAATTGCTTGAACCCCGGAGGCGGAGGTTGCAGTGAGCCGAGATGGTGCCATTGCACTCCAGCCTGGGTGACAGAGTGAAAAAAAAAAAAAAAAAGTTAATGAATAGTTTCTACATTATTATGATCATGTAATATTTTTCACAGCAGAGGCAAGTAGTATGTAATTACATTTCTTTGTATTGTTTCTTGGTTTTTGAATCTGTAACTGCATTTTTCTTGTCATATTTTCACGATTCATTTTATCAATCTTTTTCTGTGGTTTGTCATTATTACTTATTTTATGCATATCAAGTCCCTCCCACCCTCCCCTGCTTTCCCTTAGTCCTATTTCCTTCAGTTTGGGCTAGAAGTATTTAGACCTGTTGCCTTGTTTTTGTGCTGAACTTTTCCTTACTCTTTTTGCACAGTGCTACTACTGTTATTAGAGCTTTATCATTTCTTGAGTTACTAACTTGTTTTAATGCAGTACACCCACATAAATAGCTAAGAAAGAATATGTGAGAAATAAAGTTTTGAATCCTTGCTTATCTGTAAAAGTCCTCATTAGCCCTTACAGTTGACTGGTATTATTTTATTCAAGTGCAATTAAGCTGAAAATTGTTTTCCCTCAGAGTTTTGAAGGGATTGCTCCAGTGTCTTCTATGTCCATTGTTGTTGGTGAGGAAAAGTCGGATACTGTGTGATTCTTCTTCCTTTGTGGGTGATGTGTTTCATATTTTCATCCATCCCTTTAGAGCCTTCTTTTATCCTCATTAAACTGAAATTTCTCAAAGATGTCCAGATGTGTTTTCTTCTCCATTACAATAAGCAAAATACTTTATGTGCTTCACTTCTTGAAAGTTTTCATGTTACGGCTTTAGTGATCTTTCTTTTTTTTATTTTTTTGAGACGGAGTCTTGCTCTGTTGCCCAGGCTGGAGTGCAGTGGTACCATCTTGGCACATTGCAACCTCTGCCTCCTGGGTTCAAGCTATTCTTCTTCAGCCTCCCAGGTAACTGGGACTACAGGCACCTGCTACCACACCTGGCTAAGTTTTTGTATTTTTAGTAGAGAGGGGGTTTCACCGTGTTTGTTAGCCAGGATGGTTTTGATCTCCTGACCTCGTGATCCGCCCATCTCGGCCTCCCAAAGTGCTGGGATTACAGGCGTGAACCCCCACGCCCGGCCTCTAGTGATCTTTTCTTTGTTTTCTCTATAGCTGCTTTTAGTTGGATTATTAGACTTACTGAATTAATCCTCCCCAATATTTTTGTCTGTTTGTTTGTTTGTTTTTTTTTGGTCTGGCCATCTCTTCTACTTTATTTATTCTTGGACCTTTTAATTTTATATTGGAAGTTATATTTTAAATGTTTGAGATTTCTCCTTCATTTCCTCCCCCGCCAATATCTTTTCTCATTTTATGGATTAATAATCTTCTTGAGTCTCTGAAAATGTTAATAAGGTTTATTTTTTTTTTAAATTTTGTTGCCCTCCCTCTTACCTGTCAACTCTATTGTAATTTTTGTTGTTATCTTAGTCTCATTTATATTGTAGGCTTTTAACCAAATATCTGCTGACCTTGGATATCACTCAGCTTTAAGATTTAGTAGAAGGGTTCACAATGAGCTCTTGGTGGGAATTAATGGTTGGCAGGCAGGCTTTACTTTAGGGTTAAGCTGTTAATTAGTCTTTTGTATTCTGACATTCAAGAGTCCATTGTTTTACCCCAAAGTGCCAACTCCCATGCTAGGTTCACTAGTTTCCTCTCTCCCAGACTCCAGTTTCTTTACTTTAGAAGAGATCTCTTTCCATTAATTTTACTTTGTTTTTTAATAATAATTTGGCTTTAAATTTTTTTAAACTACTGTTTAAAATGGTCTTTTGCTGAAGAGAGATAAATGTATATGTTTGATCTGCTATTTGAGCCAGAGAATCTCTTTCAGTTCTCAAACTGGACTAGACCAAAAACTAATAATTATTTAGATATTTATTTATCCAGTGTTTCAGAATGTGTTAGGTTGTAGAAATATAATAGCAGCTTTAAGTGGTGTAGGAGGTGTTTTGCGTGTTTATAAAAGCGAGTACTGGCTGGGTGCGGTGGTGAGCGCCTGAAATCCCAGCACTTTGAGAAGCCAAGGTGGGTGGATCGCTTGAGCTCAGGAGTTGGAGACCAGCCTGGGCAACATGGTGAAACCCTACCCCTAAAAAAATCCCACAAAAATTAGCTGGGCTTGGTGGTGCGAACCTGTAGTCCTACCTACTCAGAGGCTGAGGTGGGAGGATCCCTTGAGCCCAGGAGGTGGAGGTTGCATTGAGTCAAGATTGTGCTGTTGCACTCCAGCCTGGGTGACAGAGCTGAAACCCTGTCTCCAAAACAAAACTGAGTACTCATTATGTGTGTTAAGCCTTTTACAGTATGTGGAAGATTAGAAGATGTCACATAAAAAGTTATGAATGTAATACATTCTGGTAAAAATAAAGAGCACAGGAGGGCATAACTTAAAAAGTAAAAGGGGCTGGGTGCAGGGGGCTCACGCTTATAATCTCAATACTTGGGAAGGCCGAGGTAGGAGGATCACTTGAGGCCAGGAGTTTGAGGCCAGCCTGGGCAACATGTGTTTCACTGGGTGACAGAGTGAGCCTCTTATCTAAAATAAAAAACAAAAAATGTGAAAGACCCTCTTTTCCCTGTTTTGCCCCACATTTCAGAGACAATTACTGTATCCTTGACTTTTGTTATGGGTATACCTTTGCTATTTCTATGTATGTGTATGTACTTATATCCATTTTTATGATAATGGGATCATTTAATTTATATCGTGATTTGATTTTGTCACTTTGTGGTTGATCTTAGGCATCTTTCCATTTTAGCTTATACACATCTATCTCATTCTTTTCAAAATTTATCCAAAGATATGAATCACGTGCTTAATTTGCCAAGGAGTGTTTTAGGTGTAAGGATTCAGTGGTGAACCAGAGAGACCAAGCTCCTGCCCTTATGGAACAATATTTCAACGGTGAGAAACACAAAATAAATGCATTTCTCGTAATTAGTCTCAAATACTGAGAAGTGCTATGAAGAAAATAAAATGTGGTACTGTACTGAGTGTGTCTGTTAATGGTATGAGAGAGAACGCATGTGGCTAAGGTGGTCAGGAAGGTCTGTATGAAGTGATGGCATTGAAACACACGTGAATGATGTGGAGGCATTTTAGGAAGAGCAGGATTTATTGTGAAGACTCAAAACAAGAATGAGTGTTGTATTAGTGCGTTTACTGCTGATAAAGACATACCCAAGGCTGGGTAATTTTTAAAGAAAAAGAAGTTTAATAGACTCATAGTTCCATGTGTTTGGGGAGGCCTCACACTCACAGCAGAAGGCATGTCTTACGTGGTGGCAGGCAAGAGAGAGTGAGTACCAAGTGAAAGGTGTTTCCTCTTACAAAACTATCATATCTCGTGAGATTTATTCACTACCAGGAGAACAGTATGGGGAAACCACCCCTATGATTCAATTCTTTCCCACTGTGTCCATTCCACAACACGTGGGAATTATGGGAGCTTTAATTCAAGATGAGATTTGGGTGGGGACACTGCCAAACCATATCAAGTGTGTTATACTCAAGGGATCCTCCCATCTCCCAAAATAAACGATTGGTGTTACTGTGCAATGAGGGGAACTTAGGAGACCATATTTGAGAGGCAAGCAGGAGCCCAAGCAGTGCCCTTCACACCGTGGTAAGAAGCTGGGATTTTATCCTTAGTGCAGCAAAAGCCCTTAGAAGGTTATAAACCAGGGCACCCATAAGGCTGTGAAAGTAACCTTGACAGATATGGCTTAGAGTAGAGTGATGGCAGAGGAGAAAGGCAATCAGAAGTGTTTGGAAAGCTCAGGAGGCTGAGGCAGGAGAGAATTGCTTGTACCTGGGAGGTGGAGGTTGCAGTGAGCTGACATCAAGCCCCTGCACTCCAACCTGGGCAACAGAGTGAGACTCCATCTAAAAAAAAAAAAAGCTTGGAAAGTTACAGCGGTAAGATCTGCTAAAGGATTTGATGAGATGGATATGAGATAAAGAAGAATTAAAATTGTCTTCTAGATTTGTGGCTTCAGTAGTTGAGTGGACAGAAATGTCATTTACTTAGATTAGAGATTGATCTTAGTGGAGAAACAGGTTTTAAACTAGATTGAAGGCCCTCTGATTAGTTAAACCATTCCCCTACTGATGGTCATTTAGTTGATTTCCAGTTTTATTATCTTTGTAAGGAATATCCTTGTACTTGTGTATTTGTACGTGTGGACATATTCTGGAAGATAAATTCCTAGATGTAAAGTTCTCTCATCGAAGAGGACAGTACATATGTTTCAAGTTTTGATGGATATTCATTAGTTGCCCTCCAAAAGTGAGGTGTTGGCTTGGATTCCCCCAACAGAGTATGCCTTTTTCCTGGCATCCTCACTAACAACATACCTGGTGGGAGAGAAAGTAGGCAGGGCCTACATTTCTGAAAATGGGAGTGGGAGTTCTAATAGCATTTTTTCTTTACTAAATCACTTTGGCACTTTGTTCCTAGAATGAAAATCAGCAATTGTCGTTTTCTTTTTGGTATCCCTAAAGTCATAACATGTCTCTGGCCATAGTTTTTTCCAGTTACTAATCATATAGCTGTTGGTCAGTCCTTCTAGGCTTAGTGGTATTTATGGAGCCTTTCATAATAATTATGAGAATTACAATGAAAATGAAAACTATTAATTGGTTTAATGTATGCCAAGCACTATCCTAAGTGCTTTACACGTACTATATTAATTTATTTAATCCTCACAACAACCTAAAAAGTAATTACTGTTATTATCTCGATTTCTTGAAGTGAGACAGAGGATGTCCACCAATCTTTGTCTTTTCATTTATGTATTTTTTAATTAATTTTTTTCTGTCAAAATATCTTTTGGGAAGTTTGGCGCTGTTACTTGAATACCTTTTGTCAGTAGTTGTGGGTCAGAATCCAAACACAGAATAAATGGCAGGAAAAGGCACATTCAGTTTAGGAGAATGCTCTGCTTATGGGTGATAGTGTTTGTAATGCTTTGGGTTTTGGTTTTCAGAACTGCCTATGTTCAAATCCCAGCCTCACACTTAGTAGCTGTTTGATTTGGGGCTGATCATTGATCTATTTTTGTAGCTCAGTCTTCTGAGCTTTAAAATGGGAAAACAAGGTTTTGTAGGTTGTAGGATTGTTGCGGGCAGTAAGTTACACATGTAAAAGTGGCCAGCACAAGAGGAAGCACTTTATCAGCATCAACTAATATTTTTATATAATTGGCTAAGAGTGGGCAGTCCTATCTAGCACTCAAAGTGTGGGGAAAATACTGGTGATAGGATATCACACTCTTACTGAGTTATATATATTAATATTTAGGTATAAAACTTAGAAAGTGGGGTGGTTCACGCCTGAGGCTGAGGCAGGCAGATCACTTGAGGTCAGGAGTTTGAGACCAGCCTGGCCAACATGGTGAAACCCTGTCTCTACTAAAAATACAAAAATTAGCCTGGCATGGTGGTAGGCACCTGTAATCCCAGCTACTCAGGAGGCTGAAGCAGGAGAATCACTTGAACCCAGGAGGCGGAGGTTGCAGTGAGCCAAGATGGCGCCACTGCACTCCAGCCTGAGTGACAGAGGGAGACTGTCTCAAAAACAAAACAAAACAAAACAAAACAAAACTTAAAAATGGTTAGGCACTGTGGCTCATGCCTATAATTCTAGTACTTTGGGAGGCTAAGACAGGAGGATCACTTAAGCACAGGAGTTCGAGACCAGTCTGCTGGGCAACATAGTGAGACACTGTCTCTAACTGGGGGGGGGAAAGAAAAGCCAGGTGTGCGGCCACGTGCCTGTAGTCCCAGCTACTCAGGAGTCGAGATGGGAGGATTACTTGAGCCCAAAAGGTCGAGAATGCAGTGAGTCATGGTTGCGCCACTGCACTCCAGCCGGTGCAACAGAGCAAGACCCTGTCTCAACAAACAAAAAACCCTTAAAATTTTTTTAATGCTACTATTGTTGTAATGAGTCATATTAAGTGGGATTATACATGTACCAAACTTTTATTTTTTCTTGAGTGAGATTATTTCATGGTTATTTTAATTGGCATGCCTTACGATTGAGTTAAATTGATTATATTTGTCACTTTTTTTTGCAAACTGCCTACCAGTACCCTATTTCGGGTACTTTGCAGCTTCAAATAAGAAAAATTTTAATTAAAAATGCATTAAACCATAAATAAAATTTACCTCACATGACTGGAAGTCCAGGTGTAATTCAGTGGCTCAATTAAATTATCACGGACCTAGATGGTTTTCATTTTCCTGCTGTTTTATACTCAGCTTGTTGTCGATAGTTGCTAAATTAATTCACTTAAATAATCATTTACCACCTAAAATGTATTAGGCAGTAGTCCATAAGCACGGGAAATACAGCAGTGAGCAAAACAAAGTTCATTGCCTTCCTTCACGGGCTTATATTTTAGTGGGGATAAGGGAGAAGACAGTCAAACAAATAGGTAGAATTTATAGATTGTCAGAAGATGTTAAGTTTTATGGAAAAAAATAAAGCCATGGAAGGGACGGGAAGGGCTGGGTTGGATTGTTTTAAGTGGGGCCATCAGAGAAGGCCTCAGTGAGCTGATGTTTGAATAGAATCTTAAAAGAAATAAGAATGCAAAGGCAGATATTTGGGGAAAGAGCATTGCTGATGCGGGGAACAGTGAGTGCAAAAGCCCCAGAGGCAGGAATGTGCTTAGCATGTTCATAGAACTGAAAGGGCCAGTGTGGCAGGAGCTGAGTTATGGAGAAAACATCATAAGAGAAGTAGCGTGGGGAGTCAGATTGTGCAGGGCCTTGTAGACCATTGTGAGATCTTTTGACTTTTACTCTGGATTAGATGAGAGTCCTTTGGGGGCTTTTAAGTGGAGGACTGGCTTTATCTGACCAAGACTCTAAAACTCTCATGCTGGCTGCTGTGTTGAGACTAGAATGAAGGAGATCAAGGAAGAAGCAGGCATGTTAGATAATATTAGCAGGGTAACAGATGATTTGAAGCATGATAGGCATCAGAGAAATGTTGAAGTAATTCTGCATATGTTGAGGCAGAGCCGAAAAGATTTGTTGAGGGATGTGGCATGTGAGAAAAAGAGGATTCGTAGTTCACACCAGGTTCAATGACCAGTAAAGATGAAGTATATTTGTTCATGCACATCTATTTTATTTGGAATTAAAAACCTTTCCTGGAAGCCCTTAGCAGATTTTTTTTTTTTTTTTTTTTTTGAGATGGAGTTTTGCTTCTTGTTGCCCAGGCTGGAGTGCAATGGCACGATCTCGGCTCACTGCACTGCATCCTCTGCCTCCTGGGTTCAAGCGATTCTCCTGCCTCAACCTCCCCAGTAGCTGGGATTACAGGCATGCACCACCATGCCCGGCTAATTTTGTGTTTTTAGTAGAGACAGGGTTTCTCTCTATTGGTCAGGCAGGTGATCTGCCTGCTTCAGCCTCCCAAAGTGTTGGGATTACAGGCATGAGCCACCGCGCTCGGCCAACAGATTTTTTTCTTAAATCCCATCAGCCGTGATTGGTATCCATCCATGTCCTAGATACAAGTGAGGGTGAGAGAGCAAGGATGTTCCTTGCAGCCATGATAATGGGAAGTGGACTCTGTAAGGAACAGGTTGTGAGTGGGGAGTGGCTATTGGTTAGGTAACTAATAGTCTGTTTGTCATTGCCCATTTTTCTGTTAAGTCGATCATCCTTTTTAAATGATTTGTAAATAATTTTTGCATGCTAAGAAAGTAAGTATTTGTTATATAATTCTAGATTCTAAATATTTTGGAGCTGTAAATGAGGTTTTAAACTCTGAGATCAGTTTTCTAATTTTGAAATAAAGTGAATCTCCATTGAAATTTACAAGTAGGGGCTGGTGATCGCAGAGTCCAATGCATAATTTATAGTTTTTCCTATTCTGGGTGCAGTTGTCATTTTAACCTGAATGCCAGGTAGTTATCTTTATAAAACTATCATGTGTGAGTTATAGAGGTAGCATTGGGGTGGTGGAAAAAAACAAAACACCACTTTTGAGGTAGGATCTCACTCTGTCACCCAGGCTGGAGTGCAGTGATGCAGTCATGGCTCCTTGCAGCCTCAACCTCCCTGGCTCAAGTAATCCTCCCTCTACTCAGCCTCCAGAGTAGCTGGGACTACAGGTGCATACCACCACACCCGGCTAATGTTTAAATTTTTAGTAGAGACAAGATATCACTATGTTGCCCTTTCTTCCTTCAAAAAAAGCTGATAAACTGGCTTATTATATAACAAGGAATTCTCATTTTATTTTACTTATATTGTATTATTGTTCTTTAATTTCAGTGATGTGAAGCAGTGTTTTTTGGAGGTTTTGAGTGTGAGCTTTCTCATCAGATACTGAAGAGTTTTTGAGCCTTAACTCCATTACTTAATTAGCTGTGTGACCCAGACCACTTCATTGTACAGCTCCGTTCTTGTTGTGCTGGGGAGGGCATTCACACAAAATACAATGAAATTGTGCTTCCTGGTGGTTCTGATGTGACTTTAGGCAAGTTCATTAAACACTGCGCTTTCAATAAGATAATGCATGTGGAATGCTGAGCACAGTGCCTTTAAGACACTGAAGGGGATATGAGAACAGTTCCATAGCCCTTCATTTTTACTTTTGATTAAGAGTTGTTTACTAATAACTAACTAGGTGAGTTATAAATGGGGAAGTAGGGTCATTGTGAAGTGGCTATGAAACAGCATAGAGGATATATTTTAAAAGCTGTATTTTTACTACCTATTTTCAAACTGCATATTTCATTTTAGTTTGGAGAACTTTACTGAAAAATAAAGAAGTAGTAGTATGTGAGTTTGGATCATTTCTGTGGTTAGGTGGTGGCTACACTAAGGCCTTTCCAATTCTTGGTCCTGTGAGAGGTAGGTAGGGTTGTGGGGGGTAGGGGAGAACAGATAAATGAGATACATTTATATTTTTTTGCATGGTAACTTATAAGGCATTGCCAAGAGAGGGAATTCACTGCAGGCAAAGAAAAATATAAAACATAGTGTATATAGGGCTTTGTAGCATCCGTGGTTTCAGGCATTTATGGGAGCCAGGCAGGGGTAGGGTATGGGGTTGAAATGTATTTCCTATGGATAAGCACAGGACTACTTTATATCACTTAATCCAAGACCCTTTTACTGGTGAGGAATCCAGCATTTAAATTTATGTATGTATATGATAAAGCTAGAATTTTTCCAGATCTGAGACTCAAAGCTCTTTGTGTTTTCGTTTATACTCCAGCTCTTTTGAGGAGCTTTAAAGTCTAGTTACAAAGACAGGAAAAACAAGAACGGCCACAGTGGCTCACGCCTGTAATCCCAGCACTTTGGGAGGCTGAGGCCGAGACCAGCCTGGTGAATATAGTGAAACCCCGTATCTACTAAAAATACAAAAATTAGCCCGGTGTGGTGGTGTGTGCCTGTAATCCCAGCTACTCAGGAGGCTGAGGTAGGAGAATTGCTTGAACCTGGGAGGCAGAGGTTGCAGTGAGCTGTGCCACTGCACTCCAGCCTGTGTGCCAGAGACTCTGTGTCAAAAAAAAAAAAAAAAAAAAAGGCCGGGCATGCAGTGGCTCATGTCTGTAATCCCATTGCTTTGGGAGGCCAAGGCAGGCAGATTACCTAAGGTCAGGAGTTCAAGACCAGCCTGTTCAACATGGCAAAACCCTGTCTCTACTAAAAATACAAAAACTAGCTAGGCGTGGTGGCAGGCACCATAATCTCAGCTACTCGGGAGGCTGAGGCGGGAGAATGGCTTGCACCCGGGAGGCGGAGGTTGCAGTGAGCTGAGATGGAACCAGTCAGTGCACTTCAGCCTGGGTGGCAGAGCAAGACTGTCTCAAAAACAAAAAAACAAACAAAAAACAAACAACGACAAAAAACCTAGGAAAAACATACATGCAACAGAATGTTAAAGAGGAGATTTTAAGGCTTTTTTTTTTTTTTTTTTTTTTTTTGGAGACAGTCTCACTCTGTCGCCCAGGCTGGAGTGCAGTGGTGCAATCTCGGCTCACTGCAGCCTCCGCCTCCCTGGTTCAAGCAGTTCTCTGCCTCAGCCTCCCAAGTAGCTGGGATTACAGGCGCCTGCCACCATGACTGGCTAATTTTTGTAGTTTTAGTAGAGACGGGGTTTCACCATCTTAGCCAGGCTGGTCTTGAACTCCTGACCTCGTGATCCATCTGCCTCGGCCTCCCAAAGTGCTGGGATTACAGGCGTGAGCCGTTGCTCCTGGCAGAGATTCTAAGTTTTTTGAGAATAGTGACTGTATTTCTTGGGTCATGGCTCTATCTTATACATCTGGCACAGTGTGTGTGTGTGTAGCAGGTGTCTAATATTTGTTAAACACACATGGTCCTTAATATCAAACGGCATGGGATTTAAGACATGAACTTGGGTTTGAGTCTCAGCACTTTCATTTCTTAGTTGTATGACCTTGACCATTTAATCTGTTTGATCTTGAATGTCCTTATCCGAAAAATAGGGGACATACTAATTAACATCTATTGTGATGGGTTGTAATGAGAATTAAATGATAATGTATACAAAATACCTAACTTGATTGGATTTGTGGTACTCAGTAGCTATAATGACCATTTTAACCCCAATATGAGAAGGATTCACTCATCACACTGTTGTATACTTCGTAGCTATTACTTCTTTAATCCCCAAGGACTTGTTTAACAAAGTGTTCTTCAGTTTCTACTTCCTAGTTCCTTTGTGGAACTGGTAAAAATTTAAAATATCTTAACATAATATTTTATTTCAAATGATAAACAGTAAGGTAAAATGTGGTTTTTCTTGGACAACTTATGGTAGAATGATGTCTAGAATATTTAGTTATGTCATTTAATACTTTTTTTCTTTACAATTTAAAAAAAAATTTATTTTATTTTAGATTCAGGGGGTACACGTGCAGGTTTGTTACATGGCTAGATTATGTAATGCCGAGGTTTGGCCTGCTAGCGCAGCCATCATCCAAAGTGACCCTAGTACCCAATAGGTAGTTTTCAACCTGTGTGCCTCCTCTTCTACCTTCTCTTTTGGAATCTCTAGTCTATTACTTCCATCTTTATGTTCACATGTACTCATTGTTTAGCTCCCACTTACAAATGAGACCATGTGGTATTTGATTTTCTGGTTCTGAGTTACTTCTTTTAGGATAGAGGATGAAAAAGAGTGTAGCCTCCAGCTCCATCCATGTTGCTGCGAAGGACATGATTCCATTCTTTTTTATGGCTGTATATTTTTACCTTTTTTTGCGAGGGGGAGAGGATTTAAATATGGACCAGCATAATGAAGAAAATGTCTGTAATCCCACTATTCACATAACCCCTGCTAGTTTAAAAAAAGTTCGTGTAGGCCGAGCATGGTGGCTCACACCTGTAATCCCAGCACTTTGGGAGTCCAAGGCTGGAGGATCACTTGAGCTTAAGAGTTTAAGACCAGCCTGAGTAACATAGTGAAACCTCATGTCTACAAAAAAATAAAACTTAGCCAGGTATGGTGGTGCATGCCTGTAGTCCCAGCTACTTGGGAGGATTGCTTGAGGCCAAGAGTTCGAGGCTGCAGTAAGCTGTGATTGTGCCACTGCACTCCACCAGGTATTTAAAAAAAAAAAAAGTAAATAATTAGAAAATTTAAATAGTGTAAACTAGAGGCCTCTCCTATCAGTTTGCTAGAGCTACCATAACAAAATACCACAAACTGAGTGACGTAAGTGACAGTATTTTTTTTTTTTTTTTTTTTGAGACGGAGTCTCACTCTGTCACCAGGCTGCACGATCTCTGCTCACTGCAGTCTCGGCCTCCCAGGTTCAAGTGATTCTCCTACCTCAGCCTCCCGAGTAGCTGGGACTTCCAGTCTCCAGAATTGAGAAATTTAATTTCTTTTAATTTAAAAAAATTAAGAGTGACAGTTGGCTGGGCGCAGTGGCTCATGCCTGTAATCCCAGCACTTTGGGAGGCTGAGGCGGGCAGATCACGAGGCCAGGAGGTCGAGACTATCCTTGCTAACACGGTGAAACCCCATCTCTACTAAAAATACAAAAAGTTGGTCGGGCGCGGTGGCTCATGCCTATAATCCCAGCACTTTGGGAGTCCGAGGTAGGCGGATAACCTGAGGTTGGGAGTTTGAGACCAGTATGACCAACACGGAGAAACCCTGTCTCTACTAAAAATACAAAATTAGCTGTGCATGGTGGTGCATGCCTGTAATCCCAGCTACTTGGGAGGCTGAGGCAGGAGAATCGCTTGAACCCGGGAGGCAGAGATTGCAGTAACCCAAGATCACGCCATTGCACTCCAGCCTGAGCAACAGGAGCAAAACTCCATCCCAGGAAAAAAAAAAAAGTCTAAGTAGTCCCCAAAACATAAAATTTGAGCCTAAAATAAGAACTGTTTTAAAATTTTAATATATTGTGTTTTTTCGCCATACAATCCCAGGTATTCTTCAGGTTAGAACTCAGTTTCACAAAAAAGGGTGTGCTTGAAAAGCTTACCAAAATCTCCTGATTAGATACTTTTTTCGTTTGTTTCTGTTTTTTTGAGACAGTCTCGCTCTGTCGCCCAGGCTGGAGTGCGGTGCCACAATCTCGGCTTACGCAACCTCCGCCTCCCGGGTTCAAGCGATTCTTCTGCCTCAGCCTCCCGAGTAGCTGGGACTACTGGCACACACCACCATGCCCGGCTAATTTTTGTATTTTTAGTAGAGACGGGGTTTCACCATGTCGACAAGTCTGGTCTTGAACTCCTGACCTCAGGAGGTCCACCCACCTCGGCATTCCAAAGTGTTGGGATTACAGGCGTGATCCACCACGCCTGGCCAGAGCATACTTATTTATTTAGCAGGTGTGGATATGTGTATTTAAACAGACTTACTTGTAAATAGATGTATAAATGTATACCCATAATGAATGAAATTAATGAAATTATATATATTTATATATTCATTATAAGAGGTTACAATTTTTTTATTTTATTTTTATTTATTTATTTTTTTTTTTTGAAGAGGTTACATTTTTTCCCCCCAGCCTAGAAAGCTTCACTGCATAACATGATTATGTGGGAATTTCAGAGTTGGATCACTTTGCATTACTGTAAATGATAGAGCTTTAAAGTATTTTTTATTCTAAAGGTATATGTGCTTTTCATAAATTCAAATTCTAAGAAAAGGTATACATCACAAGTTCAGTTTTACTCCCCAGAGGTTATCACTGGAAGCTTTTTTTGTATATTTTTCTAGATGTTTTTGGTTTGTAGATAAGACGTGTATGTATGTAGAAAAAAATACAGACATAGGCATATATATTCTTTGAAAACAAATGGAATTAGGCCGGGCGCGGTGGCTCACGCCTGTAATCCCAGCACTTTGGGAGGCCGAGGCGGGCGGATCACGAGGTCAGGAGATCGAGACCATCCTGGCTAACACGGTGAAACCCGGTCTCTACTAAAAAATACAAAAAATTAGCCGGGTATGGTGGTGGGCGCCTGTAGTCCCAGCTACTTGGGAGGCTGAGGCAGGAGAATGGCGTGAACCCGGGAGGCAGAGCTTGCAGCGAGCCGAGATGGCACCACTGCACTCCAGCCTGGGCCACAGAGCGAGACTCCGTCTCAAAAAAAAAAAAAAAAAAATGGAATTATACTATAAATACTGTTTTGTCACTTTTTTTTTTGGCATACTAGTATATGTTATACATCTTTTCATAGGTATATTGTGATTAATGTAGGTGCAGTTCAGTAATGATTGAAATGAAGTTTTTTCATTATATTCTATTTTTGAAAAATTACCAATAACTACATATATAACTGAAATCACATCATGTAACTGTCAGTATAAAGGAATGGCTCAGATAAAACCAAATAGAAGTTGTATATTTAATATTTTTAATAATTTTAATATTTAATTAAAAAGTTAAAACTTGTACTACATGGCTGTTTATTAGGGTAAGGAAGTATGATCTCTTTAATGTACATGGTATTTAAAAAATATCTTATTCTGGTGTGTCTTCTTGATTGTAAAACCCCACTTAACATTTTGGGCTCCTATTTATATCTTTTTACTTTAAAGTAACACTATTCTGTGGTTATTCTTATGGCATATTAAAGTGATATTTTAAGGAATACTTAACAAAATTCTATATAAAATGTATCTACTCTAAGTTAGAAATCTTGGTGCCCTTACTGGTCTTGTGATCTTGGAAGTCACTTAAGATCCCGAGCTCTGTATTAAGACAGTGCTGGTTCAAGTTCTGGATCTACCATTGAGTAATTGACCATGACTTTCTTTATACTTCAGTTTCCTCAACTGTTGAATAGGAATAATGGTTGTTGTGATGAGTCCATAAAAAATACAGTCTTACTGACTTTATGGTGGCCGAAATTTCAAGAGTAACACAGTAACAGTTAAGTCATACTGGGACTCAGGCTAATCTTTTCTCCGTTGCCCTAGGCATTGATGTCCACCTGGCAAATGAGGGTGAGAAGCGGTGAGGGATTGCATGGGAGGTTTGGGGACAAGGCCTGGGAGTAGTACAGAGGCATCTTTCACTTTTGCCCACATTTCATTGTCCAGACCAGTCATGTGAAAGGGAAGCTGGGAAATGTAGTTTAGCCATATGCCAGGAGGAAAAGGAAACGCTTTGGTAAATAGCCAGTTTTTGCCACCAGTGCTAAGCACAGTTCCTGGAAGATGGTTTTCAAGTCATTAAGCAAGTCACTTTTCACCTCTCCAGGTCCGTGTTTCTTTCTGTAAAGTGGGAAGGGGGATGATAATGAAAACTTCTATGAAGCACTGTTTTGGGAGAACTATATGTTATAACCATCTTAACTCACTTAATTCTTACAAAAGTCCTCTGAAGTAAAGACTACTATTGTCCCTTTTTTTTTTTTTTTCTTTTTTAACAGCTGAGGAAGCTAAGGCTCAGAGTGAGTCATGGACACAGGATTTGAACCCAGGCAGTCTTTTCTGTAGGGTCTGTGCTTTTATTTATTTTTATTTTTATTAATTTTTTTTTTTTGACGGAGTCTCATTCTGTCACTCGGGCTGGAGTGCAGTGGTATGATCTCAGCTCACTGCAACCTCGCCTCTCAGGTTCAAGCACTTCTCCTGCCTCAGCCTCCCAAGTAGCTGGTATTATAGGTGAGTGCTACCACGCCAGGCTAATTTTTGTATTTTTAGTAGAGTCGGGGTTTCACTGTGTTTGCCAGGCTGGTCTTGAACTCCTGACCTCAGGTGATTCACCCGCCTCAGCCTCCCAAAGTGCTGGGATTACAGGCATGAGCCACTGCACCTGGCCTCAGGCATAATGTGATATCGTTTATAAATATTAGAGAATGTAGTTCTAAAAAGTGAAGGCTTAAGAAAAACCTAATACCACCATCATACTTAAAAAAAAATTGACAGTTAAATCCATAATATCATCATATTCTATGTTCAGGTAAACACGTCTCAATTTTTTTTTTTTTTTTTTTTTTTTTTTTTTTTTTTTTTGAGACGGAGTCTCGCTCTGTCGCCCAGGCTGGAGTGCAGTGGCGGGATCTCGGCTCACTGCAAGCTCCGCCTCCCGGGTTCACGCCATTCTCCTGCCTCAGCCTCCCAAGGAGCTGGGACTACAGGCGCCCGCCACTACGCCCGGCTAATTTTTTGTATTTTTAGTAGAGACGGGGTTTCACCGTTTTAGCCGGGATGGTCTCGATCTCCTGACCTCGTGATCCGCCCGCCTCGGCCTCCCAAAGTGCTGGGATTACAGGCGTGAGCCACCGCGCCCGGCCAACACGTCTCAATTTTTAAAAGTATTTGAATAAGGCTTACTTATTGCGATTAAGTGTCTTAATCTGTAGGATACCACCTTCCTTTTTATTCTCACAATTTATTTGTTAAAGAAATGGGTTATTTGCCCTGTAGAGTTCCTGTAGTCAGGATTTTGCTGATTCCTGAGATTCAATACCAGGTTTATCCCCGATGTTTCTCTATTTTCTGTATTTCCAAATGAGTAGTTAGAACCAGAGGCTTGGTCAGAGTCAGGTTCAGTCTTATTTTATAAGACTGCTTCTTATATTGTGGTGCATTCTTTCATCAGGAGGCACAAAATATGGTTGTCTCTTTTTGTGACATTAGCAACTGTTGGTGACTAATGCCTAGATCTGTTGATTCATTAAGAGTTGTAAAATGATAATGTTCTAGTTGTGTTACTCCTTCATTTTATTATCTGGAATACTGTTTTATAAAAAGAAAAGTTTCCATCACCTCTTACTTGGTTGCCCAGTGTAACTGTTCATATGGGAAAGGCAGAATAAATGTTTGCTTGTTTACCTTTCTTTACCAGTTTCCAGTGTAATCAGTAGGTTCACTGTATTTTCCAGCTGTGATTAATAAATTTTTAAAATTATTATTTTTAATGTATCTGTTACTGTATAGGACAGTATCTGGAAATACCCAAAGACAAGATCTCTAAAGGAGTCATCGGCTAGTGGTGGATCAGTGCAGCGTGGTGGTGGTGGTGGTGGTGGTGGTGGTGGTGGTGGTGGTGGTGGTGGTGGTGGTGGTGGTGGTGTTATGCACATGGGGGATAATATAGCAGAGGCATTTAGCTTGAAATCAGGAAAGAGCTCTGGAGTTATCCTTGAGCTGCATTTTGAAGGTTGAGTAGCAGTTTGCTATTGGAGGAGGTAGAGGTTACTTTTCAGGCAGAGGGAGCAGCATGTGCAAAGGCTCTGAGATGTGAGAGTTTGTTACTGAAGAAATTCAGTAGGGCTGGAAGCTCAGTGAGCTTGGTGCGAGAGAGTCAAGAGATGAGGCTTTAGAGGTAGTATGGGTTTTAAGTCATTCCAAGGAATAGTTTTGATTTAACTCTGAAGGCCATGGAGAGACATTGAAAGGTTTTATCCAAGTGAATGATGTAAGGAACAAACTGTGGAACTCTTGGGGCAGCACTGAGGAGAGTGACTCATGATGCCCCTTTTCTGAACTGCTTATACAGATTTCTCATTCTTGGCATTACTCCTGATTCCTCCTTCATCTACATGCACACGCGCCTACACACACGCACACACACACAGACACACATGTCTGCCTCTCGGATCTCCTTCTAGAGTCTTAGTTCTTGTTTTTTTTTTCAGAATTTGGGCAACTAACAAGGCTAGAAAGGAGGCCATCTAAAAAAGTGATTGGTGTTGAAAAGTTGCTGCTCCTGTCCTAGCAGCACAACTCTTCACGTCATAGTAATAGGAGTAATGACGATGATGAGTGTGGACAACTAATGAGCACTTAACTGTAGTACCAGGCACTATTCTCAGAATTCATTAGTGTGACAACCCTCTAAGGTAGGGTCTGTTATCCCCATTATACAGATGGGGCAGAAACGGCAGGGAGAAGTTAAGTGACTTGCTTAAGGTAATAAATGTAGTAAGAAGCAGAGGTGGGATTGAACCTAAACAGTCTGCATCTAGAGTTCATGCTCATAACATTCTATTTATTGCCTTTCTGGTTTTATGACCCCCTTCTTATCTAAGTGTATGCTCTGTGCCCCGCATATACAAACTAGTTCCCATAACATGTGTAATATAATCCCTCCTTTCCCAGGGTTTCCCGGCTTCCTGTCCTTCCCCTTAGCTTTCTATCATCAGTTTTTCCTAGGATTTCTGGTTCAGCCTATGTCAAAGTGAGAGTCACCAACATAGTTGATGATAAATACTGTTTGATTACAGGAATGTAGGAAGATGTGCAAGCATTCTACTAAAAATGCTTTTCCCACAGATAATGTAAACTAAGGTTGCTTAGGTTTTGTAAGACTGCCATTCAACTATAAATAGGCCTTATGTATGTTTACTAAATCAGAAAAAATTTAATGTAGCTAAATTTTAAATAATCAACAACAGAAAATAAAAATATTTTGCCCCACCATCTTAAGGTTACAAGACTTAGAGGTATATTTTATTTACATGCATGCATACACACACACACACACAAATTATATATAGATGTGTGGAAAATATAGAAAAGTAGAAAAATGTATACAAATATTTGAAATACATTATGTGGAATCATGTTTGTATTTTTCTTAGCTTAGGAAAGAAAGCCATTAAAAGAGTTACATGTCAATAACCATGATACTATAGGATTTTAGTAGTTGCAGAGTATTACATTACTTAAATAAATGATTCATGGAATAGTCTTTTTTTATTGGACAAGGAATTTTCCCCTCCACCTCAATCTTTGAGAGTTAGAAACAATGCAGAGATGAGTGTCTTTATAGTTAAACCTTTGTACATTTTATAATTTACTCATGATAAATTTTCAAGTTGAATTCCTAGGCCAAAGAGTATACAGATTTTAAAGACTTTCAATGTTGGCAGATATCACTTTAGGATAATTATACCAATTTATACTCTTACCAGTAATATATGAGTGTATATATTTACCTATTCCTTGCCAGTTCTGGAAATTGTGAATTTAACAGAATCTTCCAAAAAGCATTGAAAATTGGCCTGGGAATGTAAATATCCTTTTCTTCCCCATTCAGCTTACTAATGAATCTATCATAATCTCAGCTGTCTGAATCTAAAAGAGAACCAGTAAAATTGAGATGACAAGTTTATTGCAAAATAAATGACCTGAAAGCCACAGGCATTGGGTGGGGTGGGGGAAGGGCAGGTAATGGTGACTGAGGTGACTCTGTGTTTGGGTTTTTGAAAAGATGGTAGATTTGAAGGATAAGGAGTTCAGAGAAGTAGAAAGGCAAATAGGGGCCGTTATAAATAAGGACAGTGGCATGAGCCAACAGGGTTATCTCTCATGTTTATAGAACATGGCTAGATCTGGTTTCCCTATAAGTTGATTTCTTACTGTTATTCTGAGTTGAATGCGTATCTTTTGTCTCAATGAAGCCTGAATGGCTTTTGATGTCTCTGATCTGGAAAGGTTGTTTATGTATCTCAGAATAAGTCATTTTGCTAAAAAAGGCTACTCCTGAGGGAGAGCAGTGGAAAAAAGAGTTGGAAAAGTGGATTGTAGCTAGTTGAAAAAAGGATTTGAATGTCAAGCTTTAGGAATTAGGTTCTTATTTGGTATGTTACGGGCAACCATATGGACTTTTGAGCAGGTGAAAAATACAGTATTAATGGGTAGGGATAGCTTGGGAGGGAAGGAGACATGGACATTGAGCTTCAGAAAAACCAGTTAGTAAAATATTTCAGATGATACATTGGTAATAGAAAAGGATCCGTTGAAATGTGAGGCATTCACTTGGAAAGAACTGGCAGAATGTGGTAATTAACTGCTATAAGGACCCCAAAATAAAAGGAATAATCAAACATCACTCAAAGCTTTTAGCACAGTTTTTGATAACAGTCAGTGTCAGAAGGAGAAGACAACTTTGTTCCTAAAAGTTATATTGTAAAATAAATGTAGCTTATACATTTTTGAAAGTGAAATCTCAGGATTCATGGTATCTTTACTTCTACTTGCCAAATTATTAAAATGGTGTTATATTTCTTAAGATATTTTAAAGCCTCTATTGTAGAACAGAAATAGTAGAAAATGGAACTAATGTTTATTAACAATTACTATGGAAGAGGGAATAGAAATGTGTTGCTCTTGAACAGATTTATTCAGCTTTGGCACTGTTGACATTTTGGACTAGCTAATTCCTTGTCATGGGCAGTATCTCCTGTGTGTAGGATGTTAAGCAGCATTCCTGGCCTCCACCCGCTAGATATAGTAGCACACCCGCACCCCTCCCCCCCTCCCTGCCCCCGTGACAACCAAAAATGTCTTTAGACATTGCCAGATGTCCCTTGGGGAGCAAAAATTACTCCCTCTCCCCAGTTAAGAACCATTGTTCTAGAGTACAGAATCAATCCCACTAAATAAATGTTATTGGCGTGTTTAGAACAGTGCCTAGCACATAGCTGGCACTCAAATATTTGTTGAATAAATGAGTAGTCAGATTTTCATTGTGAATTAAAAACAGAACAAAACTTGATGACTGACCACTCAAGTTGCTTTTACAAAAGAAATGGGATGTCCATTGAACATCTGTTTTAGATCTGATTTCCCAATCTGGATTATTAAAATGAGGAGGCTATTTTTTCCCAGTATATAAATGATTCTAATACTTTTTGCTGTAAAACTTTTGGAGTCTCTCTGCTAAATTATGTTCCAGTTTCGTAGCTTGGGATTCAAGTCATAAATATACTAGGTCTGTCTTACCTTTCGGTGCTTTTATTTGTTCCCTTTTGAACATGGCTGAATTTTACTTTTCTGTCCACCTGCCCGCCATTCGTGCTACCCCTCCTTCCTTTTTCCACTCTCATCTTTTTCCCATTTTCCAGTCTGTAAATCCTACCTATCCTTTTATTTTTTAAATTACAAGATCTCATTCTGTTACTTAGGCAGGAGTGCGGTGGCACAATCATAGTTGACTGCAGCTTCGAATTTCTGGGCCCAAATGACCCTCCCATCTCAGCCTCCCAAGTAGCTGGGAATACAGGTGCGCAATACTGTGCCCGGCTAGTTTTTTTTTTTTTTTCTTTTGAGACAGAGTTTCGCTCTTGTTGCCCAGGCTGGAGTGCAATGGTGCGATCTCGGCTCACTGCAACCTCTGCCTCCCGGGTTCAAGCGACTCTCCTGTCTCCGCCTCTCGAGTAGCTGTGACTATAGTCGCATGCCCCCATGCTCAGCTAATTTTTGTGTTTTTAGTAGAGGTGGGGTTTCATCATAGTGGTCAGGTTGGCCTTGAACTCCTGACCTCAGGTGATCTGCCTGCCTCGGCCTCCCAAAGTGCTGGGATTATAGGTGTGAGCCACTGTGCCCAGCCTAGTTTTTTTTGTTTTGTTTTTTGTTTTGTTTTGTTTTTTTTTTTGGAGATGGAGTCTCGCTCTGTTGCCCATCCTGGAGTGAAGTAGTGTAGTGGTGTGATCTCAGCTCACTGCAACTTCTGCCTCCTGGGTTCAAGTGATTCTCCTGCCTCAGCCTCCCAAGTAGCTGGGACTACAGGCACATGCTGCCACCCCTGGCTAAGTTTTTATATTTTAGTAGAGATGGGGTTTCACCATGTTACCCAGCTGGTCTCGAATTCCTGAGCTCAGGCAATCCGCCTGCCTCGGCCTCCCAAAGTGTTAGGATTACAGGTGTGAGCCACCATGCCCAGCCATTCCCGGCTAGTTTTTGTAGATACTGGGGTCTCGCTGTGTTGCCTAGGCTGGTCTCGAACCCATGGGCTCAAGTGATCCTCCCATTACAGCCTCCTAAAGTGCTGGGATTACAGGCATGGGCCACTGTGCCCTGCCCTGTCCTCCTTTTTGAAGTCTCTCTCTCTCTGTCTTTTATACTTATTTTTTCTCTCTTGTCATGTCTTTGTCCTTGTCTTTTTTGATGGAGTCTTACTCTGTCACACAGGCTGGATTGCAGTGGCACAGTTCTAGCTCACTGCAGCCTTGAACTCCTGGGGTCAAGTGATCCTCTAGCTCAAGTGATCCTCCTACTTCAGCCTCTGAGTAGCTGGGGCTCTATGTGTGCACCACCACGCCTGGCTCCTTTGTCCATTTTTGTTTGTTTGTTTTTTGGAGACAGAGTCTTACTCTGTCGCCTAGGCTGGAGTGCAGTGGCATGATCTCGGCTCACTGCAACCTCCACCTTCTGGGTTCAGGCGATTCTCCTGCCTCAGCCTCCTGAGTAGCTGGGATTACAGGTGCCCACCACCACGCCTGGCTTATTTTTGTATATTTAGTAGAGATGGGGTTTCACCATGTTGACCAGGCTGGTCTTGAACTCCAGACCTGTGTTCTGCCTGCCTTGGACTCCCGAAGTGCTGGGAATACAGGCATGAGCCACTGCACCCTGGCCTTAACTACGTATTTTTTATATCTGCACAGTGTTTTGGAAAAAGTGGTTCAACTGAAAGAATGAAAAGATGGGGGCAGAATTTGCTTTTTAAAAAAATAATAATAATTTAAAAAAAGGGCATTGAAAAAAGTTTCAGTGGTGTTGGGAGGGCCTTGGAACAAGGAATGAATGGAAGATGAGGGAGTGGAGGGAGGCCATGTATGGACTCTTTCTACAGACCAGGCTGTTGAAGGAGAGAGGGCTAACAGGAAATGAAGTGCGGGGGAAGTTTTTTGAAGATGGGAGAAAGAGGACAACTTTTATATATTTCATTTCATTTGATTCCTTATAAATTTGTAAGGAAGATAGAGCTTGTATTATTTCAGTGAAGTTGAAAATAGAGTACAGAAAAATTAAGATACAGCACCCCCAAAACTGAGAACTTCTGACATAATACACTGTTGGAAATACTTACTTCAGAGTGAAGAAAATATTGGAAGTTAGGCTTGTTAATTGCTCTGCATGGTTCATAATTACTCTTTCTTATTAACTATTTAAGGAACATGAGACCAGGAAGTTAAATACCTGGGTATATGCAGATATATATCTAGAATTGGTACCAAAGTAAATACAGGCATACCTTGGAGATACTGTAGGTTCCATTATAGACTACCACAATAAAGTGAGTATCACCATAAAGCAAGGCACACAAATATTTTGGTTTACCAGTGCATGTAAATATTATGTTTATATTCTACTGCAGTCTATTAAATGTTCAGTAGCGTTATATTTAAAAAACCAATGTGCATACTTTAATTTAAAAATACTTTATTGCTAAAAAATGCTACTGATCATCTGAGCTTTCAGTAAATTGTAAGATTTTTTGCTGATAGAGGATGTTGGTGGCTGCTGACTGATCCCAGCAGTGATTGCTGAAGGTTGGGGTGCCTCTGGTAGTTTCTTACAATAAGACAACAATGAAGTTTGCTACATTGATTGCCTGTTTCTTTCATGAAAGATTTCTCTGTAGCACGTGATGCTGTTTGATAGCATTTTTTACCCAAAAGTAGAACTTTTTTCAAAATTGGAGTCAGCTCAAACACTGCTTTAACAACTAAGGTTATATAGTATTCTGAATCCTTTGTTGTTATTCAACAATTTCACAGCCTCTTCACCAGGAGTAGATTCCATCTTTAAGAAACCACTTTCTTGGCTCATCTGTAAGGAACAACTCCTAATCTGTTCAAGTTTTATCATGAGATTGCAGCAATCCAGTCACATCTTCAGGCTCCACTTCTAATTCTCTTGCTGTTTCCACTACATCTGCAATGACTTCCTCCACTTGAGTCTTGAACCCCTCAAAGTTATCCATGAGAGTTGGAATCAACTTCTTCCAGACACCTGTTCATGTTGATATTTTGACTTCCTCTCATGAATTATGAATGTTCTTAATGACATCTACGGTGGTGAATCCTTTCCAGAAGGTTTTCAGTTTACTTTGCCCAAATCTACTACAGGAATCACTTTTTTTTTTTTTTTTTTTTGAGACGGAGTCTCGCTTTGTCGCCCTGGCTGGAGTGCAGTGGTGCGATCTTGGTTTAGTGCAACCTCTGCCTCCTGGTTCAAGCGATTCTCCTGACTCAGCTCCCCCGAGTATCTGGGACTACAGGTGTGTGCCACCACGCCCGGCTTATTTTTGTATTTTTAGTAGAAATAGGGTTTTGCCATGTTGGCCAGGGTCTTCTTGAACTCCTGGCTTCAAGTGATCCGCCTGCCTTGGCATCCCAGAGTGCTGGGATTACAGGCATGAGCCACCGTACCTGGCCGAAATGTATTTCTTAAACAGTAAGACTTAAAAATTGAAATTACTCATTGATACGTGGGCTGCAGGATAGATGTATCGTACTGGCAGGCATGAAAGTAACATTCTTCTTTCTGAACATATCCATCAAAGCCCTCGAATGACCTGGTCCATTGTTAGTGAGTGCTAATATTTTGAAAGGAATGTTTTTTCCTTAGCAGTAGGTCTTGACAGTGGACTGAAAATATTCAGTAAGCCAACCTCTAAACAGATGTGCTGTCATCCAGGAGACTGTTGTTCCATATGTAGACAGCAAGCAGATTAGATATAGCATAATTCTTAAGAGCTCTAGGACTTTTTGAGTGGCAAATGAGCATTAGCTTCAACGTCAAGTTACCAGCTGCATTAGCCCCTAACAAGAGAGTCAGTTTTTATTTATTTATTTATTATTTTTAAAAGAGACAAGAGTCTCGCCTTGTTGCCCAGGCTGGCCTTGAACTCCTGGGCTCAAGCGATTCTCCTACCTTGGCCTCTCAAAGTGCTGGGATAACAGGTGTGGCCCCAGCCTGACCTTTGAAGCAAGGCATTGATTTTCCCTCTCTAGCTGTGAAAGTCCTAGATGGCATCTTCTTCTAATGGAAGGCTCTTTTGTCTACATAAAACACCTTGTTTAGTATAGCCACCTCCAGCAATGATCTTAGTTAGATATTCTAGATAACTTGCTACAGCTTCCATGTCAGCACTTGCTGCTTCACTTTCCACTTTTATGTTATGACGAGAGCATTTTTCCTCATGAACCAATCTCTACTTGCTTCCAGTTTTTCTTCTGCAGTTTTCTCACCTCTCTCAGCCTTCATAGAATTGAAGAAGGTTAGAGCCTTGCTGTGGATTAGGCTTTTTGCTTAAGGGAATGTTATGGCTGGTTTAATCTTCCATATGGACCACTAAAACTTTCTTCATATTAGCAACAAGATTGTTTCATGTTCACTGACATAGTGCTTTTAATTTTATTCAAGAATTTTTCATTTACATTCACAATTGGCTGAGTGGTACAAGAGGTCTAGCCTTAGGCCTTTCTCACTTTTTGATATGCCTTCCCCACTAAGATTAATCATTTGTAGCTTTTCAGTTAAAGTGAGAGGCACATGACTTTTCCTTTCCCTGAATTGTTTGAGGCCATTGTAGGATTAGGGTTAACTAATTGGCCTAATTTCAATATGGTTGTGTGTTGGGGAAACGGGAGGTCTGAAAAGAGGGAGAAAGAGAGATAGGGAATGGCTAATTGGTGGAGCAGTCAGAACACACATTATATGTTAGCCATCTTATGTGGGCGTGGTTCATGGTGTTCCAAAACAATTACAATAGTAACATCAAAGATAGCATGGTAGCTCACTCCTGGAATCCCAGCACTTTGGGAGGCCAAGGCAGGAGGATCGCTTGAGTTTGAGACTAGCCTGAGCAACATGGTGACACCCCATCTCTATAAAAAATAAATCAGCCAGGTGTGGTGGTACATGCCTGTTGTCCCACCTACCGATGAGGCTGAGCACTTGAGTCCGGAAGGTTGAGGCTGCAGTGAGCTGTGATTGTGCCACTGCACTCCAGCCTGGGTGACAGAACAAGACCCTTTCTCAACCAAAGGAAAAAATATATATATATCACTGATCGTAGATCACTATCACAGATATAATAATAATGAAAAAGTTCAAAATACTTTGAGGATTACTAAAACGTAACACAGAGACACAAAGTGAGTGCATGCTGCTGGAAAATGGTGTCAGTAGATTTGTTCAGGCTGGGTACTATGGCTCACACCTGTAATCCCAGCACTTGGGAGGCTGAGGCGGGTGGATCACCTGAGGTCAGGAGTTTGAGACCAGCCTGGCCAGCATGGTGAAACCCTGTCTCTACTAAAAATACAAAAATTAGCTGGGCGTGGTTGTGGGCGCCTGTAATCCCAGCTACTTGGGAGACTGAGGCAGAAGAATTGCTTGAACCTGGGAGATAGAGGTTTCATTGAGCCAAGATCATCCCACTGCACCCCAGCCTGGGCGACAGAGCAAGACTCCGTCTCAAAAAAAAAAAGACTTGTTCAGTGCAAGGTTGACAAAAGCCTTTGCTATTTTAAAAAAAACTCGCTGGGTGTGGTGGCTTACGCCTGTAATCCCAGCACTTTGGGAGGCCGAGGTGGGCAGATCACCTGAGGTCAGGAGTTTGAGACCAGCCTGGCCAGCATGGTGAAACCCTGTCTCTACTAAAAATAAAAAATCAGCTGGGTGTGGTGGCACGTGCCTGTAGTCTCAGCTACTCATGAGGCTGAGGCAGGAGAACCACTTGAACCTGGGAGGCGGAGGTTGCAGTAAGCCGAGATTGTGCCACTGCAGTCCAGTTTGGGCAGCAGAGTGAGACTGTGTCCCCAAACAAACAAACAACTTATTATCTGTGACGTGAAATAAAATGAGGTATGTCTGTAAGCAAAATGGATATTCCTCTTAATGTTTGACATTATTTTTTAATCGAGGAGTTCTGAAAAATTGATTTTGCATGGATTTTTTTCCTTGTGTTTTTCTCTTCAATTTTTTTTTTTTTTTTTGAGAGACAGAGTCTCCCTGTGTCACTAAGGCTAGAGTACAATGCTGCGATCTCGGCTCACTGCAAGCTCCGCCTCTCGGGTTCAAGCCACCCCAAGTAGCTGGGATTACAGGAGTGTGCCACCATGCCTGGCTAATTTTTGTATTTTTAGTAGGGACAGAGTTTCACCATATTGGCCAGGCTGGTCTGGAACTCCTGACCTTAAGTGATCCACCCACCTTGGCTTCCCAAAGTGCTGGGATTACAGGCATGAGCCAGCACACCCGGCCTGATTGTTCAGTTTACACTCCTACTAGTGTCGATTTTCCCATAACCTGACTAGCAGAGTGTGTTATCACTCTTTGCTAATTTGGTATCTGAAATGATACTCCTTGCTTTCATTTCCATTTCTAAAATTGTTTAGTTGAATATCTCATGTGTTCAGAGACTTTCACTCTTTCAGTTGTTGGACTGTATTTGTTATTTTTCTATTGAGAATTTGTTTTTCTCATTCACTCATTTTAAAAATTATTATTTTTAAAATTTCTTTTCAATTTTTATTAATTATTATTATTATTATTACTATTTTTTGAGACAGAGTCTTGCTCTCTTGCCCAGTCTGGAGTGCAATGGTGCAATCTCGGGTCACTGCAACCTCCACCTGCCAGGTTCAAGTGATTCTTGTGCCTCAGCCTCCTGAGTAGCTGGTACTACAGGCATGTGCCACCATGCCTGGCTAATTTTTGTATTTTTAGTAGAGATCTCGGGGTTTCACCATATTGGTCAGGCTGGTCTTGAACTCCTGGCCTCAAGTGATCTGCCCGCTTTGGCCTCCCAAAGTGCTGGGATTATAGGCTTGAGCTACCAGGCCTGACCAGTAGTTTTCATTTTTCATATCATTGTTCGATTTCCCTGATTACTTGGTAAAGTTGAGCACTTTATCATATTCTATAGGTTGATTAATTGTGTCTGAATTTCTTATTCAAAAATGAATTTGTTGTTCATATCCTTTGTCCCTTTTTAAAAAAAATTAGGTTTGTGTCTCAGGATACTTTATTCTTCCTTTATGTTCATAAGTAGAGTTTTATATTACTTATTAAAGTTATTCCTAGTAACTTTGTTGTTGATATCTCTTTCTATTACAGTAGAATAATTATTTCTACTGTATGCTGTATAGAAAAGTTATTGATGTTTATATGTTACTGTGTTGATCTGACAATCTTAAAGAACTCTTTTAACATTTCAGTTGATAAACTTGTATTTTCTAAGTAGACATTAGTGATATTTTCTGCTAATTATGACACTTTAGCCTGTTCCTTTATGGTATTAAAGTGTCTTATTTCTTATCACTTAGCTTAATGACACAACATCCAGTATTAAGTGGCTTTGTTTTAAAGTTTGATTCCCTGTGAAATTTTATTATTTTGTTCAGTGGGAGACAGAACTGTAACTTGCTTTTCAGAATTGTTAGGCTGTTATCTCAATATTTGTTATTGAATCCATATTTTTGTCCTGAGTTATAGAACCATCTACTCTTTCAACAAAACATATATTGAGTGCTTATGTTTCATCTGGTGCTGTTAGGTGTTGGGGGTGCAGCAGTGAATAGAACAAATTTCTAGTCTTCATGGAGTATACAGCTAAAGAGACAGTAATAAACAAATAATATTTTTTTGATCCATAGTCATTTGGATTTACAGATGCGGAACCCGTGGACATAGAAGTCTTACTGCATTTATATCTGTTTTTTTTCTGCATTTGTTGAGATGATCATTTTTCCTTGATTTGTAAATATGACAACCATATTAACAGATTTTCCCTTTTGATTTCTTTATGAATTTTCTAGCTTTCTTCCTATGTCATTGATTTCTAGTTTCATACAATTGTTGTTAGAAAGATACTTGAAATGATTTCATTCTTCTTGAATTTGTTAAAACTTGTTTTGTGGCCTAACATATGATCTATCCTGGAGAATATTCTGTGTCTGCTTAAGAAGAATGTATATTCAGCTGCTGTTGGCTAGAATGTTCTGTATGTGTCTGTTAGGTCCATTTAGTCTGTAATGTTCAAGTCTGTGTTTCCTTATTAATTTTTGTCTGGATTATTTATCCGTTGTCGAAAGTGGGGTATTTAAGTTCCCCACTATTACGGTATTGCTATTTCCCCCTTTAGTTCTATTGATAGTGCTTTATATATTTAGGTGCTCCAAATTGGGGCATGTATATATATTTATAAATGTTACATTCTCCTGATGAATTGACCTCTGATCTCTTTTAACACTTTTTGACTCAAAGTCTATTTTATTTTATGTAAGGATCCTCTGCTCTCTTTGGTTAACATGTGTGTGGAATATCTTTTTCCATCTCTTCACTTTCAGCCTCAGTCCTTTAAAGCTAAAGAGAGTCTCTTGTAGGCAGCATATAGGTGGATCTTGTTTTTAAAAATCCGCTTGGCTGGGTGCAGTGGCTCACGCTTGTATTCCTAGCACTTTGGGAGGCTGAGGTGGGTAGATCACCTGAGGTCAGGAGTTTGAGACCAGCCTGACCAACATGGTGAAACCCCATCTTTACTAAAAATACAAAAATTAGCTGGGTGTGGTGGTGGGCGCCTGTAATCCCAGTTACTCAGGAGGCTGAGGCAGGTGAATCGCTTGAACCCAGGAGGTGGAGGTTGCGGTGAGCTGAGATCACACCATCGCAGTCCAGTCTGGGCGACAGAGTGAGACTCCGTCTTAAACAATCAAAAATCCATTCAATCTGTGTCTTATTGGAGAGCTTAATTCTTTTCATTTAAAATAATTATTGATAGGTAAGGAGTTACTACTGCCATTTTGTCAGTTTTTCTGACTCTTGTAGTTTCTTTGTTCCAGTCTTCCTCTCTAGCCGTCTTCCTTTGTGATTTGACGATTTTTTGGTAGTGATATGCTTTTGATTTTCTGTTTCATGTATCTTGTAGGCAGCATATCATTGGATCTTGTTTTTAAAAATCCACTCGGCCAGGCACGGTGGCTCACACCTGTAATACCAGCACTTAGGGAGGCCAAGGCAGGTGGATCACCTGAGGTCAGGAATTCGAGACCAGCATGGCCAATATGGTGAAATTCCATGTCTACTAAAAATACAAAAATTAGCCAGGTGTGGTGGCATGTGTCTGTAATCCTAGCTACTCAGGTGGCTGAGGTGGGAGAACTGCTTGAACCTGGGAGGTGGGGTTTCCAGTGAGCTGAGATCATGCCACTGCACTCCAGCCTGGGTGACAGAGCGAGACTCCATCTCAAAAAAAATAAAATGAAATGAAAAAATTAAAAAAAAAATCACTCAGCCAATCTGTGTCTTCTGGAGTATTAAATTTATTTCCATTTAAAATAATTATTGATAGGCAAGGAGATGCTATCGCCATTTTGTCAATTTTTCTGACTCTTGTAAGTTTGTTTGTTTCAGTCTTCCTCTCTTGCTGTCTTCCTTTGTGATTTGATGATTTTTTTGATAGTGATATGCGTTGGTTCTTTTCTGGTTTATGTATCTACTACAGCCTTTTTTTTGTGGTTACCATGAAGCTTACATAAAACATCTTATAGTGTTAATAGTCTATTTTAAGCTGACAACCTCAACAGTATACCACAACTTTACATTTAACGTCTCCTTTCACATTTTGTATTATTGATTTCATAATGTATATCTTTTATATATCATGTATCCATTACCAAATTGTTGTATGTATAGTTAATATTTAATACTTTTGTCTCTTTACATTTATACTAGACTTAAATCTGATTTAGGTACCACCATTACAGTATTGGAGTATTCTGAATTTGAATATATTGTTATCTTTATAGTGAGTTTTATTCTTTAATATGTTTTTATGTTTTTAGAGTTCTTTTGTTTCAATTTGAAGAACTTTCTTTAGCATTTCTTGTAAGGCAGGTCTAATGGTGGTGACCTCCCACATTTTTTTCTGTAAGGGGTCACATAGTAAATATTTTAGGCTTTGCTGGCAATATGCTGTCTGTTGTAACTGCTGATATCTGCTATTGTAGCATGAAAGCAGATGTAGACTGTATGTAAACAAATATACATGGCTATGTTCCGATAAAATTATTACAAAGACCAAGTACAGGACTGGATTTGGCCTCTGGACCGTAGTTTGCTGACCAGTGATTTAGACTTCTAACATGGTAGATTACATTGATTGATTTTTTGAATATTGAACAAGTGTAGCATTCCTGGGATAAACCCTACATGGTGTGGTATATTACTCTTCTTATGTTCCTGAGTTTGATTTGCTAATATATTCTTGATGATTTTTGTGTTTATGTTCACTTAGGAAATTGGTCTTTAGTTTTGCTTCTTTGTACTGTCTTTGCCTGATTTTGGCTTTAGGATAATGCTGACCTCATTAAATGAGTGGAGAAATGTTGTTCCCTCCTTTTTCTGGAAGGGATTCTGTAGAGTTGGTGTTACATCATCTTAAAGTGTTGGTTAGAAATTAGTTAGTGAAAGCACCTGGGCCTGGAGATTGTTATTTCAGAAAATTTCATACTATAAATTCAATTTCTTTAATAGTTACAGAGCTGTTCAGGTTACATATTTCATCTTGGGTGAGTTTTGGTAGTTTGTCATTTCCTATGAATTGGTCCATTTCATTTAAAGATATCAAACTTATGTGTGTGGAGTTGTTCATACTGCTCTTTTATTGTCTTCTTTTTTTTTTTTTGAGACGGAGTCTCCCTCCGTTGTCCAGGCTGGAGTGCAGTTGTGTGATCTCGGCTCACTGCAAGCTCTGCCTCCAGGGTTCACGCCATTCTCCTGCCTCAGCCTCCTGAGTAGCTGAGACTACAGGTGCCCACTACCACGCCCAGCTAATTTTTTTGTATTTTTAGTAGAGACGGGGTTTCACCGTGTTAGCCAGGATGGTCTCGATCTCCTGACCTCATGATCTGCCCGCTGGGATTACAGGCATGAGCCACCGCACCCAACCTTATTGTCATTTTAATGTCTGTGGAGTCTATAGTGAAATCCCCTTTCATTCCTGTTTTAGTTCATTTTCTATTGCTATAGCAAAATACCCGAGAGTTGGTAGTTTATAAAGGAAAAAGATTTATTTGGTTTATGGTTCTGGAGGCTGAGAAATCTAAGATGGGTTGCCGCATGTGGTGAGGGCTTTGTGCTGTGTCATAACATGGCAGAGAAGTGCAAGGGGAAGCACATGTTTGCAAAGAGAGGCCAAACATGAGAGGCATCCTCACTTTATAACAACCTACTCTTGTGGGTTCACTTCTCCAAGAGTGAGAACTCCTTTCAGAACGACATTAATCCCTCTTAACAACCTAATCACCTCTTAAAGGTACCACCTCTCAACACTGCTACATTGCAGACCAAGCTTCAACATGAGATTTGGTGAGGACAAATGATATTCAAACCATAGTAGTCATTTTTTTGTGTGTGTTAGTTTTGCTGGAATCTTGTCAATTTTATTGATCTTTACAAACAGTCAGATTTTGATTTGAGTTTTTAAAAAGTTGTGGTAGAATATACACAAAATATAATTTGCCATCTTGTTTTTTTTTTTGTTTTTGTTTTTTTTTGAGACAGGGCCTCACTCTGTTGCCCAGGCTGGAGTGTGGTGGCGTGATCTTGGTTCACTGCAGTCTCTGCTTCCCAGGTTCAAGTGATTCTCCTGCCTCAGCCTCCCAAGTAACTGGGATTACAGGCACGTGCCACCATGCCCGGCCAACTTTTGTATTTTTAGTGGAGACAGGATTTTGCCATGTTGGCCAGGCTGGTCTCGAACTCCTGACCTCAAGTGATCTGCCTGCCTTGGCCTTCCAAAGTGCTGGGATTACAGGTGTGAGCCACTGCTCCTGGCCCTTAACTATTTTTTTTTTTTAACCTTCCACAGTCCTTTTATTTTGGAATAGGCTGTAAACAATCAAACCACGAGAACATGATTGTACAACAGTAAAATGTTCTCCTGTATTAAACTGAAGATATCTGTTTAATAAAAAAAAGAAAAAGAAAATGTAGGAAAGGTACTTAGAGCTGTTACTTTCTAAGTACACAACACCCTAGACAATTCAAGGCATCTTAATCTCCATCAAGAAAAACAAGAAAAAATAATTTTTGTCACGCTGTTAAATCCATCATTATGGATGAAACTGGTGCATATTGGTCAAACGGATCCAACAAACACTGATGTCCAAGCTGGCATATTGGCAACTAATACGTAACTGGTGGTCAATAGAGAGTTTAAAAGATCTTCCCTTTCTTCTTGTTCTTTTCCAAGGTTCTCGAAGAGTTCTGTTCTAAAATATGTTGTTGAGCTTCCCAGTTTGCCTTCTCATCCTCAAACTGACGACGTTTTTCCTCTAATTCTTTGTGCTGTGCTTCCAAATTCTTTTTCATTAGCTCACGGCGCCACTGGAGCTCAGCTTCAGAGTCCTTTAGTTTTTGAACTTTTTATTTGACCTTCATCTCTAACACCTGCTCCATCTCCATCTCTATCTTCTTCATTTTAGCTGCATACTCCCTTCTTTCTTCTTCCATTTGTGCCAGAGGGCTCTTAGTCAGCTGCCCTTTATTCTTGTTGTTATCAACTCCATTATAAGTCACAGCTGCCAGTTTTCTGCTTCTGTAGTTCTCATAGTGGACATTATTAGTAACATCTTTCAAGTCCTGAGTGTGTGTTTTTATCAGCATATTTCTTAGAATTGTAAAATCACAATGTTCACCATTTTCAACTTCAGCAGCACCCCAAGGATACTGCCTTCCTTTGACCCTTTTGCCATTAACTTCAATGATAGTATTACTAGCTTACCACAGCAAGAGGTAAACAGTCCTTTACCTTTTTAGCAAGTTTATTTTCTTCTTCATCATCTATTTCTGGAAAATCATATATCTTAATTTTATGTTCTTGGATTTCTTTCATTATCTGTTTTTTAAACTGTTGGCATTCCTCTGGTATAAGTGTGTCTGCTTTGGCAATAAGTTGGATGATAATCACTTTTTCATGCGAACGCTTCATAAACTCAATATCCAATGGTTTAAGTTCATGTCCTGAAGGAGCAATGAAGTATAAACAACACTGCACCCTGCTATTAGGCATCTGACGTCTGTTCACTCGTGATTCTGCATTTAGGTAGTCCTCAGATTTACTATCAATGTAATCGATAAGAGGCTGCCAGCAATTACTATTATCCACTACATCTCCAAATCCTGGGGTGTCAGCTATTGTGAGCAGCAACTGAACACCACCTTCTTTGATTAAAACTTTGGATTGTCCACCTGTATAGTCTTTTTAATTCTATGAGAAGGACCTGGATACTCTGGAGCATACAAATCTGTAAGGAATAATGAGTTGATTAATGTCGACTTTCCCAATCCAGGTTCGCCTCTCTGGGTAAGGTGGCTCACACCTGTAATCCCAGAACTTTGGGAGGCCGAGGTGGGTAGATTGTTTGAGCTCAGGAGTTCCAGACCAGCCTGCGAAATAAGGCGAGACCCTGTCTCACTTTGTATGCTGGTGCCAGCCGGGGGTGCCCCTGGTAGGTGCTCCCTGGGGTGTCTGCTTCAGGGCTTCTGCGAAGGTGCAGGTCAGGGCTCCTCCAGCTGGGAAACTTGGAATAGTTGGCAGCTGCTTTGAATGTTGGTTCCTTCTTCTCTGATGACCGTGCTGTCAACATCAAAACACACTGCATCTGCTGAGTAGAAAAGCTTCCTCAGCTCTGAGTGGGAGACCATCCTTGGAAGAATTTTCCTCGTTTCTCCAGTGCTAGATTTCTAGGAGACCACACTCTTCTCTTCCTGTTCCTTCTCTGGATAAAAATGCAGCACAGAGTTCTGACTACAGATTTCTTCAAGAAAGACCTGTGGATTCCGCAAGAGCAAGAGCCCAGGCTCAGGTGAGGCAAGGGTGCGGCCGGGGCTGCAACTGGCGCTGGCCATTGAGGAGCTTCTGCGCGACCTTGCGATCGTGCCCGCCAGGCGCCGGCCCGTTGGCTCGCAGCGCCAGCTCGCGCCGCGTCTGGCCCTTGCTGCGCCCGGCTCTGCAGGCCGGGAAGTTGTAAAGCTCCTCCATAGCTGATGGGCGGCGGCGGCCGGGCCGAAGCCTGCGGACACGGAAGGGCTGCAGCTCAGCGGCTGGTTACATCCCGCCCGGCCGTCTGTGGCCACCCAACCCCTTAACTATTTTTAAGTGTACATTTTAGTGATGTGAGATACATTCATAATGTAGACACTATCCATTTTCATAGCTTTTTAAAAAATCTTGTTAAACTCATACTTTATAGCCATTAAACAATAACTCCCAGTTTCTCCCTTCTCTCAGCCTCTGGCAACCACCGTTCCACTTTCCGTCTCTGATTTTAGCTACTCTTAGTACCTTATATAAGTGGAATCATCCACTATTTTTTTTTCTTTGTGACTGGTTTAATTCACTTAGGAGATTGTTGTCAAGGTTCATTTATGTTGTAGTATCGCATATGTCAGAAATTCCTTCCTTTTTAAGGCTGCATAGTATTCCACCATAGACATACTGCCAATGTGGTATGTCTGTACCACATTTTACTTAACTGTTAATTATGTTTTATTTATTGTGAATAATGCTGCTGTGAACATGGGTGTATAAATATCTCTTTGGAGACTCTGCTTCTGATTCTTTTTGGTGTATACCCAGAGGTGGAATTTGTGGATCATATGGCAATTCTATTTTTAACTGCTTGAGAAACTGCCGTACTGTTTTCCAGGGCCCATATCATTTTATGTTCCCTACACCTGTGCACTAGTGTTTCAGTTTCTCCACGTCCTTGCCAACATTTGTTATTCTTTTTTTTATTTTTCACAGTAGCCATCCTAATGGGTGTGAGGTGGTATATCTTAGTTTTGATTTTTCATTTTTCTAATAGTCATCGTGAGCATCTTTTCATGTTTTTTTGGTCATTTGTATAACTTCTTTGGAAAATGTCTGTGGAAGTTCTTTGCTCATTTTTGAGTTGGGTTGTTTTTGTCAGGTGTTCGTCCCACCTCATCCTCCTGAGTACCCAGGACTACAGGCACATGCCACTATGCCCCACTAATAGAATCTATTTTAGACCTAATTATATTCTGTCTACCTGAAAGACAATTGAAATAAAATGACATAAAGAGAAAGATAAAACATGCCAACACTAATCAAATTAAGCTGGAGTGGCTATGTTAATATCAGACAAAGCACACTTCAAAACAAAACACTGGGCCGGGAGGCTAATGCCTGTAATCCCAGCCCTATGGGAAGCCAAGGTGGGAGGATCGCTTGAGACCAGGAATTCAAGACCTGCCTGAGCAATATAGCGAGACTCCATCTCAAAAGAAGAAAAGAAAAAAGGAGGAAGTTTTTAGTTAACTGTTTGTTTGTTTGTTTGTTTGTTTGAGACAGGGTCTCACTCTGCCGCCCAGGCTGGAGTGCAGCGGTGCGATTTCTGCTCACTGCAACCTCCACCTCCCTAGTTGGAGCAATTCTGCCTCAGCCTCCAGAGTAGCTGGGATTACAGGCGCCTGCTACCATTCCTGGCTGATTTTTGTATTTTTAGCAGAGACAGGGTTTCACCATCTTGGCCAGGCTGGTCTCGAACTCGACCTCAGGTGATCCGCCTGCCTCGGCTTCCCAAAGTGCTGGGATTATAGGCGTGAGCCACTGCACCCAGCCTACTGTTGCTTTTGAAGGATACTTTTTTTTGCTGCATGTTTTGTTCAGTGTTTAGAAGGGTTTTTCCTTTAATTTTCTCCTTAGTACTTTAAATATGTTTTTTACTGTCTTCTGGCTTACATAGTTTCAGACAAGAAGCCTGCAGTCATTTTTACTTTATTCCCCCTTTAAGCAATGTGTATTTTCTTTTGCTGCTTTTAATATTTTCTCTTTATTAATCTTTTTCAGCAATTTGACTATAAAGTACCTTACTGGTACGTGTGTGTGTGTGTGTGTGTGTGTGTGTGTGTGTGTCTGTCTGTTTCAGATTTTGTTGTGCTTGGATCTGTGGGCTTATAATAATACAGCTTTTAAAATTTACAGCTAATTATTTCACTAAACAATTTTTTTGTCCCTATCCCTTTAACCCCAACCTCACACATATTAGTTAGGTAGGTTGCTATTATTCCACAGGGCACTGTAGCTGTGTTGTCATTTTTCATACTGTTCTTTATTTTGAATAGATTTTTTTTTGTTATGTCTTTAGGGATAATGATCTTCTTTTGTCATTTCTAATCACATGTTAACTTTTCAATGTGAAATTTGCATTTTTTTCTTTTTTTCTTTTCTTTTTTTTTTTGGAGACGGAGTCTCGCTCTGTCACCCAGGCTGGAGTGCAGTGGTGTAATCTCGGCTCACTGCAGTCTCCACCTCCTGGGTTCACACCATTCTCCTGCCTCAGCCTCCCAAATAGCTAGGACTACAGGCACCTGCCACCACGCGCCCGGCTAATTTTTTGTATTTTTAGTAGAGATGGGGTTTCACCATGTTAGCCAGGATGGTCTCGATCTCCTGACCTTGTGATCTGCCCGCCTCAGCCTCCCAAAGTGCTGGGATTAGAGGCGTGAGCCACCACACCCGGCCTGAAATTTACATTTGATGTTATCTTTTGATGTTACCTTTGAGTTCCATGTTATTTTTAATATCTTCTGTTTCTCTCATATTCATGTTTTCTTTACATTCTTGCGCATATGAGGCATACTTATAATAGCTGGATTATTGGATTATGCCCAGTAGTTAAGTTGGGAATCATTATTGTTCAGTTGAGACTTATTTATTTTTTTCATACAGAGTCACTCTCAGGATAAGTTGAGACTTATTTGTCAGCTCTTTTAGGGATGGTCTAGAATAGCATTTGTTCTGTGGCTCATTTAGCCCTGCTCCTAAAGGTGTGTCTCACTCTGGTCTCTGCTGAATGTGTTACATAGTCATTGAGGTCTTGCCACTCTGGCTAAAGACAATACAGTTGGCTAGAGACAATACAGTTGATTCGCAGCTTTCTGTGAGCTCTGGGAATTGTTCTTCTGTAATTGCTCTCTCCCTGGAAGTTGTTCTTGTTCAGTCTTCTGGGATTTCACATCACACATGTGCAGATTGGTATTCAGTTGAAACTCAAGGGTATCCCTCTGCAGATTTCTGGAGCTCTTTCTCTGAATACCTCTCTTCTCTTGGGTAGTCTGTCCCACAAATTCTAGTCTTCTTGAGCCACCTGAACCTATGATTTCTGTCTTCTCATTTCAGCTCTCATTTTGGGTTCCTATCTCTGTGTGGTAGTTTCTAAATTAATGCCAAGCAGAAAGCCTGTGCCATGGTAGGGGTCACCCTGTTTCTTTCCCTTTGTTCCCTTCGCCATACCTGTTGCCCAGTGTCTTATAATAAGGTTGTTTCTTATATTTGTCTGGTTTCCTAGTTGTTTGGGCTGGAGGGTAATTTTGACCTGTCTTACTCCCATGTGGCTTTATGTAGAAGTCTCCTATGTTACTTTAGGAACTCAAGTTGGTTTCAGATTCTGAGATTAATATGGAACATAAAGTTTTGGTAGAAAATTTTCTCAAATAAAGTTAGTTGTATTCTTTTACTTCACATTTCTTGGTAATAAAGTGAAGTGAAGAACACTGAAATGAAAGGGTTAAGAGACAGGAAAAAGAGGGGAACGAAGAAAACCCAAAGAAGGGTTAAAATAAATAATCTTCATGTTGTCATTTGTAATTAGACTTCAAACTTTCCTTAAAAACTGAAACTGGAAATATCTGACTCAATATGGAAATATAAAACATGTATCTATTTTGCTGTTTAAATATGAAAGTTGGCAACTGATAGGGTTTTGAAGAGTATGACCATTATCTTTGCATTCAGAATATAGTGTTTGATTAGTCAGAAAAGTCACATGGCAGAAGCCAATGAGCAGCAATAAGGACACCGATGAAATAAAAGAATTCGAAAATGACATGATGTCAATAAGTTGGTCCATTGCCCAGAAGGAAAGGAATTCTGATGAATTGATCAACGTAAAAAGCATGTCTTCCTAGTGCCAAAACCAAGAATAGAAATCAGAAGAAAAATTTGAAAAGCAAAAATTAAAATCAAAATTATTTTTTAAGGAGTAAGTAGGGCAATGCAGATAACTGATATGTTGATAGAGATTATAAACTAGACAGAACGAGCTTGAAATAAAGCCAGTTGTGCCAAAACAAACAACAGCATAGACAGTGATGGTCAAGATAGTGGAGAAAAAACTCAAAGTAGAGCAAAACATGGGTCTGAGAGATTAAGTTAAAAAGTCAGCTAAACCATACGGTTTCCAATTTCTTTAAAAGTGGATGTTTATGATTATGAAAAATCACAAAAGAAAGATGAAAAGTAAACTCTACCTCCATAATGGCATGTGAATTATTTTGTCATTCTCTATTTTCTTTGAAGCAGCCATGTTGGGATTGTTTCGAGGATTTCTAGTCTCCCAGTCCCCAGTTCTTGTATTGGTCTACAGGTTTCTAAACAAAAAGTGATCCTATTAAAAAAAAATTCTTAGACCTCATGCCTTCTTACCCCCTACCGCTGACTCTGCCCCAGCCACCGTATATCCTTCTTGTCCCTCTAACCCCCCTCACTTGCTCTCATCTCAAGAATTTTGCATTTGCTGTTACTTCTACTGCAATGCTTTTCTCCCAGATATCTGTATGGTTTGCTTCATCTTCAGTTCTGTGCTAAAGTGGCTCCTTACAAAATTTTATTTTAAAACATTTATTTTATAAATCTGTTATTTAAAATAGCTAGTCCCTTTTTCTTTGCTTTCTTTTGTTGGATGTTGTATGTGTAATACTTGTTTACTGTTGTCTCTTCTCACTAGAATGTAGTTTTGTGACAGGAGGGATTTTGTTTTATTTATTTCTGTATCCACTGTGTTTGAACAGAGTCAGACACAAAGGAAGATTGATAGAGTAATCTAGTAATGCTTGCTCAATGTGTTGTCCAAATACTTGTTTAAAATGCTTCAAACTATAATGTTTCATCTATCAGTTTCCGACAGTGGGATGTTAATATCTCTCTAATGATTAGTTACCAATTTCTCTTTGTTCTGTAAATGTTTGCTTTATGTAATCTGAAGTTCTCTTATGTTATCCAAGTAAATTAATTTTTTTATCATTATGACAGTTTAAGCCATTTATGTTTACTGTGAAAATTCATATTTATATTTATCTTTTTATGTTATTTTCTATGTACCATTTGTTTTCATTCCTTTTCTGCCTGCTGTTGGATTGATCAAATTTTCTTATCCCTTCTTTCCACTTTATTTTAATGTTTTCTATCAAATTTAAAAACAACTACTTAATAAATTCTTTTTTTTTGAGACGGAGTTTCTCTCTTGTTGCCCAGGCTGGAGTGCAATGGTGTGATCTCAGCTCACCGCAACCTCTGCCTCCCGGGTTCACGCCATTCTCCTGCCTCAGCCTCCCGAGTAGCTGGGACTACAGGCGCCCACTACCACGCCCGGCTAATTTTTTTGTATATTTTTAGTAGAGACGGGGTTTCACCGTGTTAGCCAGGATGGTCTCGATCTCCTGACCTCGTGATCCACCCACCTCAGCCTCCCAAAGTGCTGGGATTACAGGCGTGAGCCACCGTGCCCAGCCTAAAAACAACTACTTAATAAATTCTAAAGATGTTCTTTCTTTTTGTCCATGAACAATAAGATCCACCTTAGAGTGTTTTCTCCCTAATTCACCCTTTTTCATCTTTCAGGTTTTGTAGTCTTTTTATTTAGTTCTGCCTTCTTTCCCCTTTCCCCCTGTGAAGTTTGAAGTGATGCTATTTTGACTGCTTGACTTGTTATGTAACATTAACAAATTTCTAATGTTGAATCATCCTGGCATTCTGATTATATTCAATAGGATTGTTCTCAGTTTTTATTTTCATTCATAGTTTTTGACAATGTTTGTTGGAATTCTGAGTCAGGTACTTCCTTTTTTTTATTTTTGGTTAAGACCGACTTTTTGATAGTTTTTAGTAGTTTAATTATAAAACCATTTAGGCTTTGATTACTTCAATTTTTTTTTCTTTTTGAGATAGAATTTCGCCCTTGTTGCCCAGGCTGGAGTGCAGTGGTGCAATCTCGGCTCACCGCAACTTCTGCCTCCCAGGTTCAAGCAATTCTCCTGCCTTAGCCTCTCGAGTAGCTGGGATTACAGGCATGTGCCACCATGCCCAGCTAATTTTTCTTTTTGTTTTTGTATTTTTTTTAGTAGTGACGGGGTTTCTCCATGTTGGTCAGGCTGGTCTCGAACTCCCTACCTCAGGTGATCTGCCTGCCTCGGCCTCTCAGAGTGCTGGGATTACAGGTGTGAGCCACTACGCCCGGCTGGTCACCTTAATTTTTAATATATTATTATGTTATAGCTCCTTCATGGTTTAGGTTGGTTAACTTTTTTTTTTTGAGACAGAGTTTCACTCTTGTTGCCCAGGCTGGAGTGCAATGGTGTGATCTCGGCTCACTGCACCTCCTGCCCACTGGGTTCAAGCGATTCTCCTGCCTCAGCCTCCTGAGTAGCTGGGATTACAGATGTGCATCAACACGTCCAGCTAATTTTTGTATTTTTAGTAGAGACGAGGTTTCGCCACGTAGGCCAGGCTGGTCTTGAACTCCTGACCTCAGGTGATCCACCCACCTCGGCCTCCCAAAGTACTAGGATTACAGGCGTGAGTTACTGTGCCTGGCCTAGGTTGGTTAACTTTTTTATGAGAACAAGACTTAAATGGATTTCTTATTGTTTAAAACATAGTTCTTTGTTTTATTCTTTTTTCATATTATTCTTTTATTTCATATTGTCCCCCCCCCCCCACCCCCCTTTTTTTTGTTTGTGTGTTTGAGACAGTCTCACTCTGTCGCCCAGGCTGGAGTGCAGTGGCATGATATCAGCTCACTGCAACCTCCATCTGTCAGGTTCAAGCGATTCTTGTGCCTCAGCCTCCCAAGTAGCTGGGATTACAGGCACACGCCACAACACCTGGCTAATTTTTGTATTTTTAGTAGAGACGGAGTTTCACCATGTTGGCCAGGCTGTTCGTGACCTCCTGACCTCAGGTGATATATCTGCCTCAGCCTCCCAAAGTGCTGGGATTACAGATGTGAGCCACCACAGCCAGCTGTTTTTCACTTTTTAAATGTTTTATGTTTTTCAATTAAATACTGAGTTGATTTGTATTTTTTCTTTCTATTTCCTCCCTCCCTCCCTTCTTTGTTTTTTTTCTTTAGCTGGAATTACTGGCACGCCACCATGTTTGCCTAATTTTTGAATTTTTTTTTTGGTAGAGATGGGGTTTCGCCATGATGGCCAGGCTGGTCTTGAACTCTTGCACTCAAATGATCCATCTAACTCGACCCTCCAAAGTGCTGGGGTTACAGGTGTGAGCCACCTTACCCAGCCTTTTTCTTTTAAAGAGTTTAAAATACTGCGAAATAATTTAAAACACTGACATTATCTGAGTACTGCTTTGTCAGTTTCCAAGTTTTTATGTGTAATATCTTGTTGCTCTTATGTGTTATTAATTTTTCTTTTACTCATTTCTATACCGTATTTAGTACAATTCAAAGAATTTAAAGGCATTAGTTTTTTTTTTTTTTTTCAATTGCTTTCTGTCAGGAATTTCACCTTGCTGTGACTCTTACCTTTATTTTACTTTCCTGAAGTGTTTATAAATTAAATTTTATTATGCTTGTAAGGTGGACATGATTATAATCGTGCTTAATTTTTAAAATTTTGTTTTTTAGTCATCTGCATCACAGTCACCAAAAGCACCTTTTACAAAGCTTTTAAAAATACATATATCTGGTCATTTCACATCAACTTTATTAAATATAGAAGTTAAACCTGGTATGTGAACTTTGTGAAGAACCCATTATGTAGTTAAAAGCCACTACTGTAGACAGAGGGAGACTTCAGAAGGTTACCTAAAAAAGGGGCAAAACCAGAGTGAGGAATACTTAAGTGAATTATGAGGACACAATTATATTCATGTGGGTCTGTCCTCACATTTAGAGTATAAGGAAGTGCTGGATTTAAGGGAGAAAATGACTGTAAACTCTGATATTTTCTACTTGATATGGTAAAATGCTGGAAAAATGCCCTAATTACTTATTTTGTATACCTTCAAATTGTGCCTTATGTTGAATATAAGTCTAAGCCTTAAAATTTAACATTTAACTCTATGTACTTATTATTTTTTTTTTTTTCTGTAGACCTCGAAGTAGGGGGAAAACTGCAGTGGAAGATGAGGACAGCATGGATGGGCTGGAGACAACAGAAACAGAAACGATTGTGGAAACAGGTATCAGAACTCAAGAATTTATAAGAATGTATAATGATGCTTTGCATATGTTTGTACACTGCATGTAGCATTTGTATAACAATATTCTGTGTTAAGCATTTGTTTTTATACTGAACTCTAAGTTTCCCATCTGCCTTGTTTTGATAACTAATGACAAAGTGAAAAAACTGAGCCCTCTATCTCTCTTTTTTCCCTAAGCCCTGGTTTAGTATAATTATTTTATATCTGAAGATAAATGTTTTATCAAGGAAATAAAGACTGGGAGAAACAGTAATCCAGGCTGTTAGTATAATCGCTCATAGTATATTCTGGCCTATGAACCATCTAGTGTTTGTTTAAAGCTTATTTTGTTAATATGTGTTCTGAAAAAAGTAGTATGTTTCGTTATGGAATTAATATTGTGAAAGGCTAGGCCAAACTAGACCAAATAGTTTCTGGTCTGTTGGACTTTTAGGTGCCCTTAAATAAGCTGCTGTATGTTGTGCATCTGCAAAAGGTAGCTAGAGTTGGTTGCCCAAAGCAGTTTCCAAAATTTTCAGGTCAGTGGTAAGTTATCAAAGGGACTAGGATTCATATTGTATTGAGAGGATACCTGTAGGAGATAGTCTCTCATTGGTAAAGTTTTCAATAGTTGTTAGATAAAGTTTAGACACAGTGATAGGCTTTTTCTCTGAAGTTGAATATCATCTTGATGCTTACAGAATATCATGCAGTTAAGAGATGAGAAAAATTAAAAATTGTTATAGATTTTAAAATACATTTTTCCAGAAATCCTTACAGTTGTCAGATGTGTTGCTATTATATAGGTATAATTCTTGGAAAGCCTTCAAATAATCTATAGTTTCTTTCCAATAAGGTCTAGTTAGAGTATTACTCTTGGAAGCTCAGAATACTAAATTTCACCCTTTTGTGCACATTCATGAATTACTGTATTACTTTAAACTGTTAATTCTTTTTCATATGGTTTTTTTTTCTGTACTATATATTGTTACTTTTACTACTGAAAAGTCTTTTTGAAGCTTTAGTGTTTTTGTTTGTTTGTTTGTTTGTTTTTAAGACAAGAGTCTTGCTCTGTTGCCTGGGCTGGAGTGCAGTGGCGTGATCTCAGCTCACTGCAAGCTCTGCCTCCTGGATTCACAGGTTCATGCCATTCTCCTGCGTCAGCCTCCTTAATAGCTGAGACTACAGGCGCCCGCCACCACACCCAGCTAATTTTTTGTATCTTTAGTAGAGACGGGGTTTCACCGTGTTAGCCAGGATGGTCTCAATCTCCTGACCTCATAATCCGCTCACCTCAGCCTCCCAAAGTGCTGGGATTACAGGCGTGAGCCACTGTGCCTGGCCTATTGTTGTTATTTTTGAGACAGAGTCTTGCTCTCTCTCCCAGGCTGGACTACAGTGGTGTGATCTCGGCTCACTGCAACCTCCACCCGCCGGGCTCATGCAGTTCTCCCTGCCTCAGCCTCCCAAGTAGCTGGGATTATAGACATGCGCCACCATGCCTGGATAACTCGTATTTTTAGTAGAGACAGGGTTTTGCCATGTTGACGAGGCTGGTCTCGAACTCCTGACCTCAGGTGATCCACCCACCTCCCAAAGTGCTGGGATTACAGGTGTGAGCCACCGTGTCTGGCTCTAATTATTATTATTGCTATTATTATTATTATTATTATTATTATTATTATTATTCTTTTTGAGTTGGAGTCTCACTCTTGTCTCCCAGGCTGGAGTGCAGTGGTGCGATCTCAGCTCACTGCAATCTCTGTCTCCCGGGTTCCAGTGATTCTCCTGCCTCAGTCTCCCTCCTGGTCTGGGACTATAGGTGGATGCCACCACGCCTCGCTAATTTTTGTATTTTTTAGTAGAGATGGGGTTTCACCATATTGGCCAGGCTGGTCTTGAACTCCTGACCTCGTGATCCACCTGCCTTGCCCTCCCAAAGTGCTGAGATTACAGGCGTGAGTCACCGCGCCGTGCCTGATTATTATTTTTTTTAATTTTGTTTTTTTGAGACAGAGTTTCGTCCTTTGTTCCCCAGGCTGGAGTGCAGTGGCGTGATCTTGGCTCACTGCAACCTCCGCCTCCCAGGTTCAAGTGATTCTCCTGTCTCAGCCTTCTGAGTAGCTGGGATTACAGCCACCCGCCACCACGCCCGGCTAATTTTTGTATTTTTAGTAGACACAGGGTTCTCCCAGTGTTTGCCAGGCTGGCCTCGAACTCCTGATCTCACGTGATCCGCCCACCTTGGCCTCCCAAAATGCTAGGATTACAGGCGTGAGCCACTATGCCCGGCCCTTTGATTATTGAAGATGATTATTTCACCACCTTTTCTTTTCTCCTGAAACTTCCAACACCCCTTCTCATTTTTGATTCTTTAGTGATGATCTTGCTTATTTCAGTGAAAAAATAAAAAATAGAGAACAATTAGAAAAGAAGTTCCATATTCATCTACCATCAAATCTATTTTCTTGCTTGCATCCCTACCCGTATGTTGTTTCTGTCCTGGTAAAATGGGATAAAGACTGCGGATAAAGCCAGCTCCTCTGCTTGTGTCTTCCATTGTGTCCCCTCTCATGTATTACGGACTTTGGTTCTGCAGTTGTCCTTGCTTTTCTGCATCAATAACTTTTCCATCTCATTGATTTCATTAGCATAAGGGGGGTGCTGCAGAATCACCCCCTTTCAACACAAATAGCCTCTCTTGATCCAACATCCCCTTTTAGGTACTATACAGCTTCTTTGCTCCATCATAGCAAAAATCCTTGAGTTATTTATACCTATGATTACTACTTATTTTTCACCATTTTCTCATGAACCCACTCTAATGAAGCTTTCTTCCTCCCATTCTACTAAAATTATTCTTGTCAATGTAATGATCTCATATTGCCCAGACCAGCTTTTAGTCTTCATCCTCCTTAACCTTTCAGGATCATTTCACACAGCTAACCACTCTCAGGAGTGAAACTTTTTTTTAAAACTTGACTTTCAGGTCACTGCATTGTCTTGGTTTTTTTTTGTTTGTTTGTTTGTTTTTTTGTTTTTTCCTACTCCTTCACTGGTTTTTTCTCATTCTCTTCGCTCATCTTCTTATGTATTAGGTGGTCTTATTCAGTTTAATGGCTTATTATCTATTTTTGTGCTATTATTATGTTATCTAAATGCTAATGACTCTAAAATTACGTCACCAGCTCTTTCTTGCTTTGAACACAACCTGTATCTTTCAGCTTGTTTCTTAACATCTCTTCTTAGATGTCTGAAGAGGATCTCATATTTAGTGTGTCCTCTCTGGAAATTTTTGTTGTTATCCTGAAACCCTCTCTTCCAGTGTTACCACCTCTGGTATATTGCCACTGTATATTGTTCAGGCTTAAAAAGATGGAGTCTTTCTTGATTTCACATTTTCACATTTTACATTTTATACATTCACATTTTAGACATTCACATTTCACATTTTCACATTTTAGACATCCAGCCCACTGGAGGGCTTTACCTACCCAGTATATCCTGGATTCAATTACTTTGACCCCTCCACTGCTATTATTCCAGAACTTCACACTACCATTCCACTGGACTGCTGCAATAGCTTCCTAACTGGTCTTTTTCCTTTTCATTCCATTCTACTCTTGTCCCACACATAGTAGCCAGAGTGATCCTTCCAAATTCAAAGTGAGAGCCTTTTACTTCCCTCTGTCAACCATCCAAAGACTCCAGTGATATTTAGAATAAAATTCAAAGTTCATGCAGTACCATTGTTTTCAGGCTCCATTGATCTGACTTTGGCTACTTGTATAACCGTATCTTATGTTCCCTTGTTCACTGGGCTCCATCCTTACTGGCCTCCTGGCTTTTCCAGGAGCCCACCAAACATACTCCTTTCTCAGGCATTTGCACTTTTTGTCTTCTTTGCTTGGAAAAATTTTTTCTCAGATATTCATACAGCTTATTCCCTTACTTCAGTCAAGTCTCTACTCAGTTACAGTTTTCCCAGAGACCTTTCCTGACAAACTTGTCTAAAAAGTAACACTTGTCACTTTGTCTTCTCCTGCTTTATTTTTCTCCTAGTACGTAACAGATAGGACATTTAATTTCATATTGGCTTATTGTATGCTTTCCACACTAGAATGTAAGCTTTATGAAGTCAGGGGATTTGTCTTGTTACCTTATTTATCCCCAGTGCCAAGAATACTTCTAGGGATATAGGAGGAATTGGATTCACTAAGTGAAGCAGTATTGTGTTCTTGAATTTTCTTTATGTTTTCTAAGCTACCTACCATTCTTGGAACATTACAACATTACAACAAAACTAAATTCCTGGCATTTTTTTTTCCTTACTGGAGAGTAGTAAGCCCCACGAATGGACTGTCTTCTCATGCTGTCTCCTATGAGAGGTCAAGGCAAATACAGTTTAGATAAATGTTTTAATAGGAGCAGAAAACTATTTTTTTTAACCTGGCTTTACTAAAGTTAATAAAGCCAAGTGTATATTAGTCTTTGTTTTGTCTTTGTCCTTGGAAAGTCCATTGTCCACTTCTTTTAGGGAACATAGTGAACATAGGGCAAGGAGAACAGTGAAAGAAAGAATAACTGTTATAACCACTAAACCTGCAAATCCAGACAGAGTTTGTTCCATAAATTTCTAGTTCATTTAAAAGCACATTCAAGTTTGCTGCAAGGTTTTAACATATGTATGTCTCAAGACCCCAGGGTTTATTTGAAGGTTCTCTTGTTCCTGTAAATCCTGTGCCTTGACATGCTTACTTAATGTTTTGTAGTAATATAAGGGTATTACGCTGGGCGTGGTGGCTCACACCTATAACCCTAGACCTTTGGGAGGCCTAGGTGGGTGGATTGCTTGAGCTCAGGAGTTGGAGACCAGCCTGGGCAACATGGCAAAAACCCGTCTCTACAAAAAAATACAAAAATTAGTTGGGTGTGATGGTGTGCACCTGTAGTCCTAGCTACTCAGGAGGCTGAGGTGGGAGGATCGCTTGAGCCCGGGAGACACCAGTTGCAGTGACCTGTAATCAGTCGCACCACTGTTCACCAGTCTGGGTAACAGAGTGAGATCCTGTCTCAGAAAAAAGAAAAGAATGCTAATGAGTCTCCTACCATGGTGGGTGGATGGGAATGAGTAATCTAGGAGTAGCCATTGGGAAAGTAATAAGAAACCTCATTTGGTAATATTTTATGTTAAGAAAATTTCATCTTTATCTCAGCTCACTGCAACCTCTGCCTCCCGGGTTCAAGCAATTCTCTGCCTCAGCCTCCCGAGTAGCTGGGATTATAGGTGCCTGCCACCATGCCTGGCTAATTTTTTTGTATTTTTAGTGCAGACTGGGTTTCACCATCTTTGCCAGGCTGGTCTTGAACTCCTGACCTCGTGATCCACCTGCCTTGGCATCCCAAAGTGGTGGGATTACGGGCATGAGCCACCACACCCAGCTGAGAAAATTTGATCTTTTGTTGGTGGTGGCTGTTACCAGTCTCTGCGCATTTTTTTTATATGAATAAAATCAACTTGAGTGAAGTGCTAGTTACTTGAAGAGAAGAGAAACTTTTTTTTTCTTGAGAATCACATAATCAGGTCTTTGCAAACTTGTTTTCATTAACTATAATTAGCTAATTATAATTCAGTTAGTTATAATTAAACATTTTTCTCCTAGTGTTCAAGTTGTCATAGTTTGGCTCATGGGAGCCCCTTGTCAGCTGGCTTCTGAGTCCTTTTAAATAACATCTCAAAACCTTTCAGAGCTCTGTGCTCTTTGGCAAAAGTTTTATTTTTCAGGCCCATTTAAAATTCTCCCTGCCACAAGGTATGAAATCAGCTATTCTCTAAGGACTTCTAGTTTTTTAGTGGAGAATAGTATTAGGGACAAAAATTTAGGCTCAAGGGATATCGGGGGAAATTCAGCCAGATATTGGGCAAAATTCACCCCCGATAATTCACGTAGGTTCTTTTCTATTTTCCCTAAGCTTCGGCTGGTTTGAGAAATAGAGGGACAGAGTACAAAGGAGAGAAATTTTAAAGCTGGGCATCCGGGGGAGACATCACATGTTGGTAGGTTCCGTGATGCCCCACAGGCCGCAAAACCAGCAAGTTTTTATTAGTGATTTTCAAAGGGGAGGGAGTATATGAATAGGGTGTGGGTCACAGAGATCACGTGCTTCACAAGGTAATAGAATATCACAAGGCAAATGAAGGCAGGGCGAGATCACAGGACCACAGGACCAGGGCGAAATTAAAATTGGTAATGAAGTTTCGGGCACGCATTGTAATTGATAACATCTTATCAGGAGACAGTTTGAGAGCAGACAACTGGTCTGACCAAAAATTTATTAGGCGGGGATATCCTCTTCCTAATAAGCCTGGGAGCGCTACGGGAGACTGGGACTTATTTCATCCCTACAGCTCGACCATAAAAGACAGCCGCACCCAAGGGGGCCATTTTAGAGGCCCACCCTCAGGGATGCATTTGCTTTCTTAGGGATGTTCCTTGCTGAGAAAAAGAATTCAGCGATATTTCTTCCATTTGCTTTTGAAAGAAGAGAAATGTGGCTCTGTTCTGCCCGGCTCACCAGCGGTCAGAGTTCAAGGTTGTCTCTCTTGTTCCCTGAACATTGCTGTTATCCTGTTCTTTTTTCAAGGTGCTCAGATTTCATATAGTTCAAACACACATGCTCTGCAAACAATTTGTGCAGTTAATGCAATCATCACAGGGTCCTGAGGCGACATACATCCTCCTCAGCTTATGAAAATGACGGGATTAAGAGATTAAAGTAAAGACAGGCATAGGAAATCACAAGGGTATTGATTGGGGAAGTGATAAGTGCCCATGAAATCTTCACAATTTATGTTCAGAGATTACAGTAAAGACAGGCGTAAGAAATTATAAAAGTATTATTTTGGGGCTCTAATAAATGTCTGTGAAATCTTCACAATTTATTTCTTCCACCATGGCTTCAGCCGGTCCCTCAGTTTGGGGTCCCTGACTTCCCACAACAAAGGGATGCATATTACAATTGTTACTGTTGAGAATTAGTTATGTGAGTCCACTTTAGTCATATACTAGTACAGTCATGCACTGCATAATGACAGCAGATCACATATATGACAGTAGTCCCATAAAATTATAATGGAGCGGAGAAATTTCTGTCACCTCAATATGTCATAGCTGTCATGATGTCATAGCTGTCGTGATGTCATAGCACAGCGCAACATAGTGCATTACTCACATGTTTGTGGTGATGCTGGTGTAAACAAACCCAGTGTACTCCCAATTACATGTACTATACAAAAGTACACTACATACACTCTTGCACAGTACATAACTCTTGATAATAAGTGACTGTGTTACTGGTTTATATATTTACTATACTATACTTTTTATCATTATTTTGGAGTGTACCCCTTTTCTTAAGCAAAAAAGCTGTAAAACAGCCTCAGGCAGAACCTTCAGGAGCTATATCAGAAGAAGGCATTGTTATCATACGAAATGACAGCTCCTTGTGTGTTATTGTCGCTGAAGACCTTCCAGCAGGGCAAAATGTGGAGGTGGAAAGACAGTGATAGTGACGATCCCGACTTCGTGTAGGCCTGGGCTAAGTTTAAAACAAAAACAGAGAAACAAAAAAGAAAAACCCTAAAACCAAAAAACTTACAGAATAAGGGTAGAAAGGAAGATTTTTTTTGTATAGCTGTACAGTGTGTGTTTTAAGCTGTGTTATTACAAAAGTGTCAAAAAGTTTAAAAAAAGTTTATAAAGTAAAAATGTTACAGTAAGCTAAGGTTAATTTATTACTGAGCAAAGAAAAATAATATTTTAAAAATTTGGTGTAGCCTAAGTGTACAGTGTTTATAAAGCCTACTTTAGTGCATAGTAATGTTTGAGGCCTTTACATTCACTCAGTGATTCACCCAGAGCAACTTCTAGTCCCACAAGCACCATTCATGGTAAGTGCTCTATGTAGGTGTACCATTTTTTGTGTTTTTACACTGTATTCTTACCATTGTTTCTATGTTTACATATATTTAGATACACAAATACTTGACTGTTGTGTTATAGTTGCGTACAGTAACATGCTGTACAGGTTTGTAGCCTAGAGTACTAGGCTGTACCAAATAGCCTAGGTTTTTAGTAGGCTATACCATCTAGGTTTGTGTAACAGTGACAAAATTGCCTAATGATGAATATTTCAGAACATATCCCTGTTCTGAGAGGACTGTAATTACATAGATCTATACACACACTTACAAATGTGAGTTCACATCGATACATTCAGTTACTTCTAGCATAAGTTTTTAAAAATAGACTTTATTTTATTTATTTATTTTTTTTGAGACAGAGTTTCACTCTTCTTGCCCAAGCTGGAGTGCAATGGTGCAATCTCGGCTCACTGCAACTTCTGCCTCCTGGGTTCAAGCGATTCTCCTGCCTCAGCCTCCCGAGTAGCTGGGACTACAGGCATGTGCCACCACGCCCAGCTGATTTTGTATTTTTAGTAGAGACAGGGTTTTCCATGTTGGTCAGGCTGGTCTTGAACTCCTGACCTCAGGTGATCCGCCCACCTCAGCTTCCCAAAGTGTTGCGATTATAGGCATGAACCACTGCACCTGGCCAAAAATAGCCTTTATTTTTCAGAGCAATTTTAGGTTTGTAGCAAAATTGTGAGGAAGGTACTGAAATCTCCCATAAATCCCCTTCCCCGACACGTGCATAGCCTTTTTCAGTATCAACATCCTATACTAGAGTGGTACATTTGTCACAATTTTTTAAGCCTACATTGACACATTATCCACAGTTTATAGTTCACATAAGGGTTCACTCTTGGTTTACATTCTATGGGTTTGGACAAAGGTATAATGACAGGTATCTGTCATTATAGTATCATAGTCACTGCCCTAAAAATTAATAGGTGTTCCACCTATTAATCCCTCCCTCCTTGCTCCCTCCCTCCTTGCTAACCTATGGCAACCACTATTCTTTTTACTGTCTCCATAGTTTTGCCTTTTCCAGAGTGTCAAATAGTTTGAATCATATAGGATATGTAGTCTTTTCAGACTGGCTTCTTTCACTTAATAATATGCATTTATGTTTCCTCCACATCCTTTTCTGTTTTTTTCTTTTCTCTTTTCTTTTCTTTCTTTATGGAGTCTTGCTCTGTATTCCCAGGCTGGAGTGCAATGGTGTGATCTTGGCCCACTGCAGTCTCCGCCTCCCGGTTTCAAGTGATTCTCCCGTCTCAGCCTCCCGAGTAGCTGGTATTACAGGCATGCACCACCACACCTGGCTATTTTGTATTTTTAGTAGAGACGGGGTTTCTCCATGTTGATCAGGCTGGTCTCGAACTCCTGATCTCAGGTGATCCACCCGCCTCAGCCTCCCAAAATGCTGGGATTACAGGCGTGAGTCACCGCGCCCAGCCCTCCTCCGTGTCTTTTCATGTCTTGATAGTGCATTTCTTCTTAGTGCTGAATAATATTGTATTGTTTGGATGGACCAGAGTTTATCCATTTGCCTACTGATGGAATTTCTATTTGCACCCTGGTTTTGGCAGTTAAGAAAGCTTCTGTCAACATCTATGTGCAATTTTTGTTGTGGATGTAAGTTTTCAACTCATTTGGATAAATACCAAGCAGCATGATTTCTGGATTGTATGGCAAGAGTATGTTTAGTTTTGTAAGGAACCACCAAGCTGTCTTCCAAAGTGGCTGTGCCATTTTGCATTCTCACTAGAAATGAATAAAAGTTTCTGTTGCTCTGTGTACTTACTGACATTTGGTGGTGTTGGTGTTCCAGATTTTGACCATTCTAATAGGTGTGTAGTGATGCCCTGTTGTTTTAATTTTCATTTCCCTGATAACATATAATGTGGAACATCTGTTCATATGCTTATCTGCCCATCTGTTTATGTTTATTGGTGAGGTGTCTGTATTCCCTATGCTTTTTTTCTTTCTTTCTTTCTTTTTTTTTTTTTTTTTTTTTTTTTAAGACAGAGTTTTGCTTTTGTTGCCCAGGCTGGAGTACAATGGCACAATCTCGGCTCACTGCAGCCTCCACCTCCCGGGTTCAGGCGATTCTCTTACCTCAGCCTCCTCAGTAGCTGGGATTACAGGCACCTGCCACCATGCCTGGCTACTTTTTTTGTATTTTTAGAAGATACGGGGTTTCACCATGTTGGTCAGACTGATCTCGAACTCCTGACCTCAGGTGATCCACCTGCCTCGGCCTCCCAAAGTGCTAGGATTACAGATGTGAGCCACCATGCCTGGCCTTCCCTATGCTTTATCTCCTGAAAGAGAGTATAGAGAAATGGTATAATTTCTTCCTTAAATGTTTGGTAGAATTCAGCAATGAACCAAACTGGGTGTGTTCAATATTCGAAGTTTATTAATTTTTGATTCAATTTGTTTTAATAGGTATAGACGTATTCAGATTATTTCTTCTTGTGTAAGCTTGAGCATATTGTGTCTTTTAAGTAATTGGTCCATTTCATCTAGGTTATCAAATTTGTGGGCATACAGTTGTTAATAGTATTTCTTGAATATTTAAGATTCCATGGGATCTGTAGTGATGTCCCATTTTTCATTTTTGATATTACTGAGTGTAGATTTTCCCTCCTTTCTGAAACAGTTGGCCCTTTAATAGCTTGGGGTTGAACCATGTGCATGCACTGATAAATGGATTTTTTTCAGTAAATATATTGGAAATTTTTCGTGGAGATTCGTGACAATTTGAAAAAATGCGTAGATGGACTGTGTAGCCTAGAAATATTTAAAAAATTAAGAAAAAGGTATGCATGAATGCATAAAGTATATGTAGATACTTGTCTGTTTTATTGTTTACTACCATAAAATATACACAAATCTATTACTGAAAGTTAAAATTTATCAAAACTTAAGCACACACTTAAAGACTGTATGTGGTACCATTGGCAATTGAGAGAAATGTAAACAAATGTAAAGATGTAGTATTAAATAATAACTGAATAAAATTTACTGTAGTACATACTGTACAACTGTAATAATTATGTGGCCACCTCCTGTTGTTATTGCAGTGAACTCAAGTGTTGCAAATATCTGATTAAAACACCATGGGATACCAATCATCTTTGAGCAGTTCATCTCTCCAGTAAATTGGGTATCTTGGTAAAAAGTGATCTGGCGCTTCTCATGTATCTTTCACCATGTTCAGTGCAGTGCTATAAATTGTGCATAACACCACGGGACCCATATGAAGTGCCACTAATGATGCTTAAAGTGCTCCCTACAAGAAGCAAAGTCATGACATACAAGAAAAAGTTGAACTGCTTGATGTGTACCATAGATGGAAGTCTGTAGCTGAGGTTGCCCACTATTTCAGGTAGACAGTCTTGTAAACAGGTGACATAAACTTATGGTATCAGTAAATACAGTATGGTCTTGTAAATGTATTTTCTCTTCCTTATGATTTTCTTTTCTTTTCTTTCCTTTTCCTTTTCCTTGTCTCCCTGGCTGGAGTGCAGTGGCACGATCTTGGCTCACTGCAGCCTCTGCCTTCCGGGTTCAAGCGATTCTCCTGCCTCAGCCTCCTGAGCTGGGATTATAGGCACATGCCACCACGCCCAGCTAAGTTTTTGTATCTTTAGTAGAGACGGGGTTTCACCGTGTTAGCCAGGATGGTCTCTTATCTCCTGACCTCCTGATCCGCCCGCCTCGGCCTCCCAGAGTGCTGGGATTACAGGTGTGAGCCACTGTGCCTGGCCATGATTTTCTTAATAACATTTTCTTTTCTCTAGCTTACTTTATTGTAAGAATACGGTATATAATACAACACAGAAATATTTGTTAATCTACTGTTTATGTTATTGGTAAGGCTTCCTGTCAACAGTAGGCTATTAGTAGTTAAGTTTTCAAGGAGTCAAAAGTTACACAGATTTTTGACTGTGTGGTGGGGGGGTTGGAGCCCCTAACCCTCTCATTGTTCAAGGGTCAACTGTATATGTGTTAAATGCCATAACTTTTCCTCTAAGCACTGCTTTCACTGCATCTCACAAATTTTCTTTTTATTTTCATTTAGTTTAAAATATTTTTCAATTTCTCTTGAGATTTCTTCTTTGACCTATGTGTTATTTAGAAGTGTATTGTTTAATGTCTCAGTATTTTGGGATTTTAAGCTATCTTTCTGTTACCGAATTCTAGTTGAATTCTGACGTGATCTGAGAGCAGACATTGTATGATTTCTATTTTTAAAAATCTGTTAAGGTATGTTTTATGGCTCAGAATGTGGTCTACCTTGTAAGTGTCCCATGTGGATGAGAAGCATGTGTATTCTGCTATTGTTGATGAAGTAGTCTTTAGATGTCAGTTATTTCCAGTTGATTAACGGTGTCAGATTCAACTATGTCTTTGTTGATTTTCTGCACGCCAGATCTATTTCTGAGAGGGGTGTTAAACTTTCCAACGATAATAGTGGGTTCATCTCTTACTCCTTGAGATTGTATCATTTTTTTGCTTCACATATTTTGATGTTCTGTTTAGACACACTGATGTCTTGGGAATTAACCCCTTTATCATTATAAAATGCCTTTCTTTATTCCTGATAACTTTGACATCTGAGCTGTCTGAAATTAATATAGCTACTCCTGCTTTCTTTTGATTATTTTTAGCCTGGAATATCTTTCTCCATCCATTTATTTCTTATCCGTATGTATCTTTATATTATAGTTAAAGTGGGGTTTTTTTGTAGACAATATGTACTTGGGTTTTCTTTTTAAAAAATCTATTCTAGGCCATGTGCGGTGGCTCATACCTGGAATCACAGCACTTTAGGAGGCTGAGGCAGGTGGATCGCCTGAGGTCAGGAGTTTGAGTCCAGCCTGACCAACGTGGTGAAACCCCACCTCTATTAAAAATACAAAAATTAACCGAGCATGGTGGCGGGTACTGTCCCAGCTACTCAGGAGGCTGAGGCACAAAAATCACTTGAATCCAGGAGGTGGAGGTTGCAGTGAGCTGAGATCGTGCCATTGCACTCCAGCCTGGGCGACAGAGCAAGACTCTGTCTCAAAACAAACAAACAAACAAACACAACCTATTATAACAATTTCTGTCTTTTAATTGGTATATTTAGACCATTGTTACTCAAAGTGATTCTTCTTTATTTTTAGAGACAGAATCTCACTGTATCACCCAGGTTGGAGTGCAGTGGTGCCATCATATTTCACTGTAACCTTGAACTCTTGGGCTCAAGCCATCCTCGCACCTCAGCTTCGCAAGTAGCTGGGACTACCTGTGCTCAGCCTCCCAAGTAGCTGGGACTACTGGTGCACACCACCACTCCTGGCTAATTAAAAAAAAAATAGTTTTTTTGGAGGGACGGGTTCTCGCTGTGTTGCCCAGGCTGGTCTTGAAATGCTGGCCTCAGCCTCCTAAAGTGGTGGGATTACTGGGATGAGCCACCATGCCCAGCTTTAGAGTGATTGTTGATATAATGGAATGGATATCTACCATATCTGTTAACTGTTTTCTATTTATTGTCCTTGTTCTTTGTTCATATTTTTGTCTTCCACTCTTTTTGTGCTTTTTGTGGTTTCATTTTATTTTATTGTATTATAATTTTTTGAGACAGAGTCTCACTCTGTTGCCCAGGCTGGAGTGCAGTGGCATCATCTTGGCTCATTGCAAGCTCCGCCTCCTGGGTTCACGCCATTCTCCTGCCTCAGCCTCCCGAGTAGCTGGGACTACAGGCGCATGCTTTCCTGCCCAGCTAATTTTTAATATTTTTAGTAGAGACGGTGTTTCACTGTGTTAGCCAGGATGGTCTCGATCTCCTGACCTTGTGATCTGCCCGCCTCGGCCTCCCAAAGTGCTGGGATTACAGGCGTGAGCCACCATGCCCAGCCTGCCTTTTGTGGTTTTAATTGAGCAATTTGTATGATTCTGTTTTCTCTTCTTTCTTAGCACAGTTCTCTCTTTTTTTTTTTGAGTTGTTGCCTTAGAGTTTGTAATATATGTTTACAACAAACCCAAGTCTACTTTCTAATAACACTGTGCAGTAGTGTCCCACTTTAACTGTGGTTTTGCTTTTCACAGTTTTGGTTACCTCCAGTTAACCGTGGTCTGAAAATACTAAATGGGAAATTCCAGAAATAAACAATTCATAAATTTTAAGTTGTACGCTGTTTTCAGTAGCATAATGAAATCTTGTGCTTTTCAGCCTGAGATGTGAATCATCTCTTGGTCCAGCACATCCATACTGTATATGCTACCTGCCTGTTAGTCACTTAGTAGCCATCTTAGTATGATTGAAAAAGCATACTGGATATATTGGGTTTGCTGTTATTTGGTTTCAGGCATCCGCTGGGGTCTTGGAATATATTCCCCATGGATAAGATGGCACCACTGTAATTTTCACTTGTAATGTGAGTACTTTATAAGAACAAAATAATCCTAATTCCTTCCTCGCATCCCTTGTATTGTTGCTGTCAGTCATTTCAGTTATACATAAGCATATGTATTTATACATAAGCAATCATAATTGAATACATTGTTGCAGATATTATTTTGAACAAACTTATCTATTAGATCAGTTAATAAGAAAAAAGTTTTTTTTTAAAATTTTATCTTCACTTGCCCCTTCTGAGATGCTCTTCCTTTCTTGATATAGGTCTAAGTTTTTGACCTGTACCGTTCTTGTTCTCTCTGAAGGACTTTTAACATTTCTTGCAAGGTAGGTCATCTGACAACAAATTCTTAAATTTTTGTTTGCCTGAGAAAGCCTTCACTTTTGAAGGATAATTTTGCAGGGTACAGAATTCTAGGTTGATGTTTTCTTTCTCTCAACATGTTACATATTTCATTCCCTCTTTTCTTGCTTGCATGGTTTCTGAGTTGATGTAATTGTTACCTTAGGTATTTTTTTCCCTCTGACCTCTTTTAGGTTTTTTCAGTATTCTGTGGTTTTTAATATGATGTGACCAGGTGTAGTTTGTTTGGGCATTTATCCTTTTTGATGTTCTTTGTCATTTGGTTTCTGAGATTAATTTGAGGAATATTTCTTCTTCTTCCTCTCTTTTGTCTCTTTTTGGTATTTCCATTACATGTTACCTTTTTGTAGTTTTCTGTATTAAACATTCTGTTCTTTTTTTTTTTTTTTTTCCCAGTCTTTTTCTCTTTGCTTTTCAGGTTTGGAAGTTTCTTTTGAAATATCTTCAAGCAATGAGATTGTTTCCTCAGCTGTGTGAGGTCTACTAATAGACCCACTAAAAGCATTCATCATTTCTGTTAGTTTTAAAAAAATCTCTATCATTTTAATCTCTAGAATTTCGAGTTCTCTGCTTACATTGCCCACGTCTTCTTGCATGCTGTCTACTTTATCCATTAGAACCGTTAGCATATTAATCATAGTTGCTTTCAATTCCTCATCTGATCATTTCAAATTCCTTCCTGCATCCAAGTCTAGTTCTGATGTTGCTCTATACTGTGTTTTTTGCTTTTTAGTATACCTTGTAATTTTTTTTCTCGATAGCCAGGTGTAGTACACTGGGTAAAGACAACAGCTGTAAATAGGCCTGTAGTAATGTGGTGGGCCTTGTAGGAGGAGGGGGAAGTCTGAATTTTTTACTCTTCCTCCCCACCCTGCCCTTTCACTGCTTTTAGGTGGGGCAGAATGGCCTAGAATGGGCTAAAGTTAGATAGTTCTCTTAGGCTAGAACTGGCTGGAGTTTATTTCTCTTCTCGTAGGTTAGGCTCTAGTTAAATAGTTTCTCCTGAAGGCAGGCCTTGTTAAGAGAAATGGTTCCTTTTCCCCTCCTGCTGTTGAAAGCAAGAAGATATTTTTCTGTGAAGTTCACTGTGAGAAACTGGTAGAGCTCCTAGAGGTAAAACACAAAACCGTGGGGCCCCACGATGACTGGGTCCCTCTGTAGTTTGTATCTTCCAGACTCGTCCACACTGAACCTCCAACGTTTTGTCAATTATGGTTCAGGTTTTTGTACCCATGGAGCTTTTTACCCATGGGTTTCTGCTCAGGTAAGTTGTGATTCATGTCTATTCCTCCAGTTCTGAGGGTACCTGTTTGCCCTGTGACTTTATTGACCTTATGGTTCTAGCAAGAGTTGTTGATTTTTCAGTTTAGCTTTTTACATGTATTAACTATAGTTATATCCCTTTTCTAATTTGGTAAGCCAGTTCTAACTATAGTGGAATGGATTATAATTGTTAACAATAACTAAGTTAATACCTATCCATTATTATAAATATGTCTCATAAATAATAATTCTTATTAAAATAGTAAAACTATCGGATTTAATATCAAGATTACCATTTGTGACTAACCTTTGAGGGATTTCCACTAATGATGTCTATCATACTGCCTTGAGTTATGTATCAAAATCTTAGATTATCTTCTGGTCTAATTATTTGTTAATTTTTAGCTGTTGCTTATGTAATGACTATTGGTTCTTATTTAGTGGTGGTTTTCAGATGTTAGTATTTAATTGACATAGACAAGATAGGGGTCTTTTGCTTTGTCAGTACACTTGATGAGACAGGTGGAATTGGAGTTCCAAAGCCATACACGTGTTACTTTACTTCAGCGCCTTTTGGTTATTTGCATATGGTTTAAGTATACAGCTTTGTATAAACCCTACATATGCCTTTATTTACAAGAATAGAAACTTTAGTGATATTATTATTTTAAAAAGTGGACACCCCAAATTATTGTTTGTACATTTTGAGTCTAGCTGCTAATTCACAACAGATTATGGTGACATTTGGCACAAAGAAAAAGCCTGGATTCTTATTACATTAATTGGCCTAACAATTTAACTTTACCTGTCCTTTCTTATCTTTTTTTGATATGAAAGTTTGTAATTGACACTTCTCTTTTTGAAGTATCAGGTTTTTCTTTGGATAAAATTTTCCCTAACTTTAGTATATTATTTAAAATTATATACTGTGGTGGTAGATATTGGTGTTGTCTGTCAAATAGTTCTGGCACTCTCCCTTCTGGATATGTGGTGGAATTACACAGCTCCAAGCCTGCTTGACAGGCCCATGTGACTGTGTCCAGTGAATTGTGGGTGGAAATCATATGGGTCACTTCTGGACTGGAGCAAAACCCTCTGAGCTTTTTTCTTTTGTAGTTACTGTCAGTGTTTGAAATACTGACTGCTTCGATGGTTTAGTTGAAGAGATGGTGAAGCAAAGACACCTATATGTCTTTGATAAGCCATACATAATTTTCAAACTGAAGTTTAAAATGAAAAATTCAGCTTCTTATTGCCACGTAACAAATCATTTCAGAACACAGTGGCTTAAAAAGCAAACATATTTCATGATCTTGTGGGTTAGGAATTTAGGTCAGGCTTGGCTGGGCAGTTCTGCTCTGCTGGCATCCACCAGAGTCATTTATTGCTATTCAGGTGACACCTGGGCTGGTCTAGAGGGTCCAAGACAGTTTCATTGGTTCATTTTTGTTTTTAAGGCCTAAATAAAGTTAAATTTCAGAAGAAGATCAATATTGGTAGAAATAATTGTTATAAAGATGTATGTTGTAATTTGTTGGTTTATTTTAGTTTCTTTTATTAATTGCAAAAAATTCCATTAACATTTAAAAGTTATGTAGGAAAACTAAAGGAAATACTGATAACAACTAAATAAAACACCTAGAGAACAGTTGACTTCCAACAGTTACTATTTTTTTTCATTTATTAGCAGTCTATCCTGCTTAAACAATTACTATTTAAATTAATGCCCGCATATTTTTTGGCTTTTGACAAGTATTGGACTCTTAAGCTTTTTGAATTTGCATTAAAAAATCACATTAAATATTATAACAGTAATGTATATTTGTAGAAATTTATGGAACTGTGGGTAATTATAAAGAGAGTAAGTCACCTGTAAAAGTGTTAACTCTCAGAGAAAATTAGTGCTTTTTTTGTGTATTTACTTTTAGTTGCTTACATTGTTCTGTGAAAGCAGCAACTATATTCATATTATTAATCAGTGTCAATATTTTAAGTAGTTTAGTGAATAAAGATAGTGTTAATAAATAATTTGCTTTTTCTAATATAGTGCTAATGTTTTAGCTTTACAGTACAATTTTGATGACATTGGATACACTAGATTCAATGAGATATATCCAGAAAACATAACTGTCAGGAGGCAGACTTCTTTCAAAAGAAGGGAGGGACATGGTTACACAATTTCTTAGCTATGTTTTCTTCTGTAGTTTTAGTAGGAAGCAAGCATGAAAAGTATTGCCATTCTCTGGAGTTAAGGGAAGTCAGTTATTCTATTTAATAGCTGATTAGGCTGGGCATGGTGATGGTGGCTCATGCCTGTAATTCTAGCACTTTGGGAGGCTGAGGTGGGAGGATAACTGGAGCCCAGGAGTTCGAGACCAGCCTGGGCAACATAGTTAATCCCTGTCTCTACCAAAAAAAAAAAAAAAAAAATCCAGGCGTGATCGCATGTGCCTTGTAGTCCTGGCTAGTGGGGAAGCTGAGGTGGGAGGATACCTTCAGCCCAGGAGTTTGAGGTTCTGATGAGCTATGATTGTGCCACTGTACTCTAGCCTGGGTGACAGAGCATGAGCCCATCTCTTAAAAAAAAAAGTTGATTAAAGCATAGAGGGAGAAGGCATATTTTTTGGATAACTAGTCGATAATGAATGTCAGTGTTTACTTGCATAGTTAGTAAATATGAGTTCATTTTAAATATATTATTTTTCTCTGTGCTTTTTATAAATCTTTGTATCTATATATGAGATTTATCTGCTTGCTTTATATTATATAATATTAATTAAGCAACTATCGAACATCATTCAGGTTTTGTGGTAGCTCTGGTTTATAAAAACAGATACAGTGCCTGTTTTCATAGAGCATATAGTCAAATTGGGGCTGTGGTCTCCTGTGAATGGCACATACAGAACAGGGGTTCTTAACTTTTTCAGTGCCATAGTCCCCTTTGGTACTATGATGTAATCCATGGACTCTTTTTCAAATAATGTTTTTAAATGAATAAAATAAAAATACACCAAAATAGGATTACAAAGATAAACAATTGCATTGAAATAAAAATAAGCCAAACTTGTAATCTTATAACATCTTTTTAATTCACTTAAATTATAAAATCTAGCAGTGAATTTAATAACTACTGTAATTTTGAAGTAGTGATGAGGGTGAATGATATTTTGGGATATCTGCAACAACTGCATGTGATAAGAAAATATCCGTGATTTCTGTTGGTGACAAACACTTAGGTATCCACCAATACCACTGTGCTTGTTGCTTACATTCTTAATATTTTCTTAGAATTCTAAATTTTGGAAGTGAATAAAAATTAGAGGTTAGTAAAAATAAAGAAGTAATTTCTCCCTCTAAAATCCTATAACCCTTGAGTGAGTAAACTTTAAAAATCCATTGAAAAAGTAGGACGCTTTGAAAGAATATACTAATGTATTGATAAGGGAGTCCAAAATTGACCTCTAAAATATTTTTGACATAGCCTGTTATGCTATCAGTGTTGGTAAGTTTGTTCAGTATATTTGTAGGCTACACACAGTCCTTTCAAAGAAGTATTTAACCTTTGAGGGAAATACTTTTGTAATTGTTCAAAATCAAAATGCTTTATTTCTGTGAACTTGGCTGTGAGATAAATGTTCTGTCCACTTCATAATTTTATTCAGCAGTGCTTAAAAAAGAGTATTTTTAGTTATCTCATAGTGTTTATATTCAGTAAGTGATCCCTCAGTAACATGGTCCTAGTAAGACTGTTAACATTTCTCTTTAATATTGATGTATTTATAAAACTTACATGCTACACTTTGATGCTCTGCCAGGCGGTGGAAGTAGTGAAAAGAGCACATCAGGCTTTAGAGTTACACAACCCGATTTTGTATCCCAGCTTTGTTTCCTATTAGCTTTGTGATCTTGAGCTTGTAATTAACTTTCAGATTTTAGTTTCCTTATCTTTTGAATGAAGAAAATATGTTAGATGTTATTCTTTTTTTAAAAGAGAAAACTTGAGAGAGAACTATTAGGCACACTTTGATTTATCCTTTTAGTTTTAGCTGGGCTTCTAATACCTTTCTGAAGCCTTTCTGAGCTGTATTCCCCACCTCTTCCCCTTAACTCCCATCATGCCATGTGCTTACCAGCATCATCATTATTGTGTCCTATTTTTATTTTCAGTCTTTCATCTAGATCCATTAAACGTAGGGATCTTGACTATCTTTGTAATGACTACCATTTGAATAGAAATTATAGTATGTACTTGTTACTCAAAATTTTGTTTGGTAAATAACCATTCTAAATTAATGATATATTAACTCTGGAGCATAGATCGGAGGGGGCTAAATAAATGTCTTCTTTATTCTCATTAATTCTCATAATGCAATTTAATAATTCATGATGTGACATCAAGAGTTAGAAATTGAGTAGGTGAGGGCTGGGCACGGTGGCTCATGCCTGTAATCCCAGCACTTTGGGAGGCTGAGGCAAGCGGATCACGAGGTCAGGAGATCGTGACCATCCTGGCTAACACAGTGAAACCCCGTCTCTACTAAAAAAATACAAAAAATTAGCCAGGTGTGGTGCCGGGCGCCTGTAGTCCCAGCTACTTGGGAGGCTGAGGCAGGAGAATGGCGTGAACCTGGGAGGCAGAGCTTTCAGTGAGCTGAGATCGCGCCACTGCACTCCAGCCTGGGCGGCAGAGCGAGACTCTGTCTTTAAAAAAAAAAAAAAAAATCAAGTTGTATAAGTGAGGTGGACAAGTGAATCCATAGACTATAGTGTGTGAATGTAGATAGAGGTCATCAGAATAGCAGCTACATCACTACACTTAAGACGTTGAGCTAAGTGCTTTTCATGCGTTCTTTTTTTTTTATTTTTGGATCATAAAGACAGTTTTATACTAGGTGGTATTGTCTGTCTTAAATGACGAGCAAAGTAAAATTGAGATGAAGTTAAGTAACTTGCCAAAGGTCACATTGCTAGCAGATGGCAGAGCTAGAATGCAGACTCGGAACCATTGGATTCCAAGCCTTTGGTTTTAACTAACACAGCAGACACCTTTTGCTATTAAACTTTCTCATGTCTTAGAACCAATTTGTGTAGGATAAATTAGAGTCATTGGAGGTGGAAAAGTAAAGGTTTAAAAGAGGGTATGTTATGAACTTATTTAAGGGAAAGGGTTAGATCTAATTTATCTTTGCATCCCCAGAGATAATGCCTGGCACATAGCTGATGCTATTTAATGAAGTGCACATTGTCTTCAAGTTCTCTTAGGAATCTACTTACATGTGATTAGGTTCTCTTTTTTATTGTTGTTGTTGAGACAGGGACTTGCTCTGTCACCCAGGATGGAGTGCAGTGGTGTGATCTTGGTGCAGCTGCAACCTCTGCCTCCCAGGCTCAAGTGATTCTTCCACCTCAGC